>NC_000023.11:59702580-59872086 GCF_000001405.40 Homo sapiens | reverse complement strand
TCATCTCTGCGAGTTAAATGCATTCATCATGAAGAACTTTCTCAGAGTGTTTGTGTTTAGTTATGGGAAATTATTCCCGTTTCCAACGAAATCCTCAGAGAGCTCCAAATATCCACCTGCAGATTCTACCAAAAGTGTATTTGGAAACTGCTCCATCAAAAGGCATGTTCAGCTCTGTGAGTGAAACTCCATCATCACAAAGAATATTCTGAGAATGCTTCCGTTTGCCTTTTATATGAAGTTCCTTCCTGTACTACTGTAGGCCTCAAAGCAGTCCAAATCTCCATTTGCAGATTCTACAAAAAGAGTGATTCCAATCTGCTCTATCAATAGGATTGTTCAACTCCATGAGTTGAATGCCATCCTCACAAAGCAGTTTCTGAGAATGCTTCTATCTGGTTTTTGTGTGAAGATATTTCCTTTTCCACCACAGGCCTCAAAGCCCTCCAAACGTCCACTTGCAGATTCTCGAAAAAGAGTGTTTCATAGCTGCTCTTTCAAAAGGAAAGTTCAACTCTGGGAGTTGAATACAAACATCACAAAATAGTTTCCGAGAATGCTTCTGTTTAGTTTTTATGTGAAGATGATCCGGTTTCCAGTGAAATCTTCAAAGAGGTCCACACATCCCCTTGCAGATTCCAAAGAAAGAGGGTTTAAAAACTGCTCCATCAGAAGGATTGTTCAACTCTGTGAGTTGAATGCAGTCATCGCAGAAAACTTTCTGAGAATGCTTCTGTCTAGGTTTGATGTGAAGATATAGACGTTTCAAACAAAGGCTACAAAGTGGTCAAAATATACACTTGCAGATTCTACTACAAGGGTGTTGCAAACCTGAACTATCAAAGGAAGGTTCAACTCTGTGAGTTGAATACAAACATCACAAAGAATGTTCTGAGTTTGCTTCCGTTCAGTTATGGGAAGTTGATCCCGTTTCCAACGAAATCCTCAGAGAGGTCCAAATATCCCCTTGCAGATCCTACAAAACGTGTGTTTGGAAACTGCTCCATCATAACGAATGTTCAGCTCTCTGAGTTAAACTCCATCGTCACAAAGAATTTTCTGAGAGTGCTACCGTCTGGTTTTTATATGAAGTTCTTTCCTTTACTACCACAGGCCTCAAAGCGGTCCAAATCTCCACTGGCAGATTCTACAAAAAGAGTGTTTGCAAACTGCTCTATCAAAAGGAATGTTCAACTCTGGGAGTTGAATGCAATCATCACAGAGCAGTTTCTGAGAATGCTTCTATGTCGTTTTTAGGAGAAGATATTTCCTTTTCCAACACAGTCCTCCAAGCCCGCTAAATATCCACTTGCACATTGTAGAAAAAGTGTGTCGAAGCTGCGCTATCAAAGGGAAAGTTCAACTCTGTGAGGTGAATGCAAACATCCCAAAGAAGTTTCTGAGAATGCTTCCGTTTAGCTTTTAGGTGAAGATTATCCCGTTTCCAACGAAATCTTCAAAGAGGTCCAAATATCCCCTTGCGGATCCCACAGAAAGAGTGTTTCGAAACTGCTGTTTCAAAAGGAATCTTCAACTCTGTGGGTTGAATGCAATCATCACAAAGAAGTTTCTGACAATGCTTCTCTCTCGTCTTTCTGTGAAGATAAAGGAAAAGGCTTTCAGGACTTTTCCACCACAGGCCTGAAAGCGCTCCAAATGTCCACTTGCAGATTCTGCCAAAAGAATATTTCAAAACTGCTCTATGAAAAGCAATGTTAAACTCTGCGGCTCGAACGCAAACATCACAAAGCAGTTTCTGAGAATGCTTCAGTTTAGTTTTTCTGTGGAAATATTCCCGTTTCGAAAGAAATCTTCAAAGAGGTCCACGTATCCACTTACAGATTCTACAAAAAGACAGTTTCAAAACTGCTCAATCAAAAGGAGGGTTCAACCGTGTGACTTGAATGCAATCATCACTCAGAAGTTTCTGAGAATGCTTCTCTTTAGTTTTTACGTGAACATATAACCGTTTCGAACGAAGGCCACCCAGTGGTCCAAATATCCACTTGCAGATTCTGCAGAAAGAGTGTTTCGAACCTGAACTCTCAAAGGCAGGTTCATCTCTGCGAGTTCAATGCATTCATCCTGAAGAACTTTCTCAGAGTGTTTGTGTTTAGGTATGGGAAATTATTGCCGTTTCCAACGAAATCCTCAGAGAGGTCCAAATATCCACCTGCAGATTCTACCAAAAGTGTATTTGGAAACTGCTCCATCAAAAGGCATGTTCAGCTCTGTGAGTGAAACTCCATCATCACAAAGAATATTCTGAGAATGCTTCCGTTTGCCTTTTATATGAAGTTCCTTCCTATACGACCGTAGGCCTCAAAGCAGTCCAAATCTCCATTTGCAGATTCTACAAAAAGAGTGATTCCAATCTGCTCTATCAATAGGATTGTTCAACTCCATGAGTTGAATGCCATCCTCACAAAGTAGTTTCTGAGAATGCTTCTATCTAGTTTTTATGTGAAGATATTTCCTTTTCCACCACAGGCCTCAAAGCCCTCCAAACGTCCACTTGCAGATTCTCGAAAAAGAGTGTTTCATAGCTGCTCTTTCAAAAGGAAAGTTCAACTCTGGGAGTTGAATACAAACATCACAAAGTAGTTTCCGAGAATGCTTCTGTTTAGTTTTTATGTGAAGATGATCCCGTTTCCAGTGAAATCTTCAAAGAGGTCCACATATCCCCTTGCAGATTCCAAAGAAAGAGGGTTTCAAAACTGCTCCATCAGAAGGATTGTTCAACTCTGTGAGTTGAATGCAGTCATCGCAGAAAACTTTCTGAGAATGCTTCTGTCTAGTTTTGATGTGAAGATATAGACGTTTCAAACGAAGGCTACAAAGTGGTCAAAATATACACTTGCAGATTCTACTACAAGGGTGTTGCAAACCTGAACTATCAAAGGAAGGTTCAACTCTGTGAGTTGAATACAAACATCACAAAGAATGTTCTGAGTTTGCTTCCGTTCAGTTATGGGAAGTTGATCCCGTTTCCAACGAAATCCTCAGAGAGGTCCAAATATCCCCTCGCAGATTCTACAAAACGTGTGTTTGGAAACTGCTCCATCATAACGAATGTTCAGCTCCCTGAGTTAAACTCCATCGTCACAAAGAATTTTCTGAGAGTGCTACCGTCTGGTTTTTATATGAAGTTCTTTCCTTCACTACCACAGGCCTCAAAGCGGTCCAAATCTCCACTTGCAGATTCTACAAAAAGAGTGTTTGCAAACTGCTCTATCAAAAGGAATGTTCAACTCTGGGAGTTGAATGCAATCATCACAGAGCAGTTTCTGAGAATGCTTCTATGTCGTTTTTAGGAGAAGATATTTCCTTTTCCAACACAGTCCTCCAAGCCCGCTAAATAGCCACTTGCACATTGTAGAAAAAGTGTGTCAAAGCTGCGCTATCAAAGGGAAAGTTCAACTCTGTGAGGTGAATGCAAACATCCCAAAGAAGTTTCTGAGAATGCTTCCGTTTAGCTTTTAGGTGAAGATTATCCCGTTTCCAACGAAACCTTCAAAGAGGTCCAAATATCCCCTTGCGGATCCCACAGAAAGAGTGTTTCGAAACTGCTGTTTCAAAAGGAATCTTCAACTCTGTGAGTTGAATGCAATCATCACAAAGAAGTTTCTGACAATGCTTCTCTCTCGTCTTTCTGTGAAGATAAAGGAAAAGGCTTTCAGGCCCTTTTCCACCACAGGCCTGAAAGCGCTCCAAATGTCCACTTGCAGATTCTGCCAAAAGAATATTTCAAAACTGCTCTATGAAAAGCAATGTTAAACTCTGTGGCTCGAACACAAACATCACAAAGCGGTTTCTGAGAATGCTTCAGTTTAGTTTTTCTGTGGAAATATTCCCGTTTCCAAAGAAATCTTCAAAGAGGTCCACGTATCCACTTACAGATTCTACAAAAAGACAGTTTCAAAACTGCTCCATCAAAAGGAGGGTTCAACTGTGTGACTTGAATGCAATCATCACTCAGAAGTTTCTGAGAATGCTTCTCTTTAGTTTTTAGGTGAACATATACCCGTTTCGAACGAAGGCCACCCAGTGGTCCAAATATCCACTTGCAGATTCTACAGAAAGAGTGTTTCGAACCTGAACTCTCAAAGGCAGGTTCATCTCTGCGAGTTAAATGCATTCATCATGAAGAACTTTCTCAGAGTGTTTGTGTTTAGTTATGGGAAATTATTCCCGTTTCCAACGAAATCCTCAGAGAGCTCCAAATATCCACCTGCAGATTCTACCAAAAGTGTATTTGGAAACTGCTCCATCAAAAGGCATGTTCAGCTCTGTGAGTGAAACTCCATCATCACAAAGAATATTCTGAGAATGCTTCCGTTTGCCTTTTATATGAAGTTCCTTCCTGTACTACCGTAGGCCTCAAAGCAGTCCAAATCTCCATTTGCAGATTCTATAAAAAGAGTGATTCCAATCTGCTCTATCAATAGGATTGTTCAACTCCATGAGTTGAATGCCATCCTCACAAAGTAGTTTCTGAGAATGCTTCTATCTGGTTTTTGTGTGAAGATATTTCCTTTTCCACCACAGGCCTCAAAGCCCTCCAAACGTCCACTTGCAGATTCTCGAAAAAGAGTGTTTCATAGCTGCTCTTTCAAAAGGAAAGTTCAACTCTGGGAGTTGAATACAAACATCACAAAATAGCTTCCGAGATTGCTTCTGTTTAGTTTTTATGTGAAGATGATCCCGTTTCCAGTGAAATCTTCAAAGAGGTCCACATATCCCCTTGCAGATTCCAAAGAAAGAGGGTTTCAAAACTGCTCCATCAAAAGGATTGTTCAACTCTGTGAGTTGAATGCAGTCATCGCAGAAAACTTTCTGAGAATGCTTCTTTCTAGGTTTGATGTGAAGATATAGACGTTTCAAACGAAGGCTACAAAGTGGTCAAAATATACACTTGCAGATTCTACTACAAGGGTGTTGCAAACCTGAACTATCAAAGGAAGGTTCAACTCTGTGAGTTGAATACAAACATCACAAAGAATGTTCTGAGTTTGCTTCTGTTCAGTTATGGGAAGTTGATCCCGTTTCCAGCGAAATCCTCAGAGAGGTCCAAATATCCCCTTGCAGATTCTACAAAACGTGTGTTTGGAAACTGCTCCATCATAACGAATGTTCAGCTCCCTGAGTTAAACTCCATCGTCACAAAGAATTTTCTGAGAGTGCTACCGTCTGGTTTTTATATGAAGTTCTTTCCTTTACTACCATAGGCCTCAAAGCGGTCCAAACCTCCACTTGCAGATTCTACAAAAAGAGTGTTTGCAAACTGCTCTATCAAAAGGAATGTTCAACCCTGGGAGTTGAATGCAATCATCACAGAGCAGTTTCTGAGAATGCTTCTATGTCGTTTTTAGGAGAAGATATTTCCTTTTCCAACACAGTCCTCCACGCCCGCTAAATATCCACTTGCACATTGTAGAAAAAGTGTGTCAAAGCTGCGCTATCAAAGGGAAAGTTCAACTCTGTGAGGTGAATGCAAACATCCCAAAGAAGTTTCTGAGAGTGCTTCCGTTTAGCTTTTAGGTGAAGATTATCCCGTTTCCAACGAAAGCTTCAAAGAGGTCCAAATATCCCCTTGCGGATCCCACAGAAAGAGTGTTTCGAAACTGCTGTTTCAAAAGGAATCTTCAACTCTGTGAGTTGAATGCAATCATCACAAAGAAGTTTCTGACAATGCTTCTCTCTCGTCTTCCTGTGAAGATAAAGGAAAAGGCTTTCAGGCCTTTTCCACCACAGGCCTGAAAGCGCTCCAAATGTCCACTTGCAGATTCTGCCAAAAGAATATTTCAAAACTGCTCTATGAAAAGCAATGTTAAACTCTGTGGCTCGAACACAAACATCACAAAGCAGTTTCTGAGAATGCTTCAGTTTAGATTTTCTGTGGAAATACTCCCGTTTCGAAAGAAATCTTCAAAGAGGTCCACGTATCCACTTACAGATTCTACAAAAAGACAGTTTCAAAACTGCTCCATCAAAAGGAGGGTTCAACTGTGTGACTTGAATGCAATCATCACTCAGAAGTTTCTGAGAATGCTTCTCTTTAGTTTTTACGTGAACATATACCCGTTTCGAACGAAGGCCACCCAGTGGTCCAAATATCCACTTGCAGATTCTACAGAAAGAGTGTTTCGAACCTGAACTCTCAAAGGCAGGTTCATCTCTGCGAGTTAAATGCATTCATCATGAAGAACTTTCTCAGAGTGTTTGTGTTTAGTTATGGGAAATTATTCCCGTTTCCAACGAAATCCTCAGAGAGCTCCAAATATCCACCTGCAGATTCTACCAAAAGTGTATTTGGAAACTGCTCCATCAAAAGGCATGTTCAGCTCTGTGAGTGAAACTCCATCATCACAAAGAATATTCTGAGAATGCTTCCGTTTGCCTTTTATATGAAGTTCCTTCCTGTACTACTGTAGGCCTCAAAGCAGTCCAAATCTCCATTTGCAGATTCTACAAAAAGAGTGATTCCAATCTGCTCTATCAATAGGATTGTTCAACTCCATGAGTTGAATGCCATCCTCACAAAGTAGTTTCTGAGAATGCTTCTATCTGGTTTTTGTGTGAAGATATTTCCTTTTCCACCACAGGCCTCAAAGCCCTCCAAACGTCCACTTGCAGATTCTCGAAAAAGAGTGTTTCATAGCTGCTCTTTCAAAAGGAAAGTTCAACTCTGGGAGTTGAATACAAACATCACAAAATAGTTTCCGAGAATGCTTCTGTTTAGTTTTTATGTGAAGATGATCCCGTTTCCAGTGAAATCTTCAAAGAGGTCCACATATCCCCTTGCAGATTCCAAAGAAAGAGGGTTTCAAAACTGCTCCATCAGAAGGATTGTTCAACTCTGTGAGTTGAATGCAGTCATCGCAGAAAACTTTCTGAGAATGCTTCTGTCTAGGTTTGATGTGAAGATATAGACGTTTCAAACGAAGGCTACAAAGTGGTCAAAATATACACTTGCAGATTCTACTACAAGGGTGTTGCAAACGTGAACTATCAAAGGAAGGTTCAACTCTGTGAATTGAATACAAACATCACAAAGAATGTTCTGAGTTTGCTTCCGTTCAGTTATGGGAAGTTGATCCCGTTTCCAACGAAATCCTCAGAGAGGTCCAAATATCCCCTTGCAGATTCTACAAAACGTGTGTTTGGAAACTGCTCCATCATAACGAATGTTCAGCTCCCTGAGTTAAACTCCATCGTCACAAAGAATTTTCTGAGAGTGCTACCGTCTGGTTTTTATATGAAGTTCTTTCCTTCACTACCACAGGCCTCAAAGCGGTCCAAATCTCCACTTGCAGATTCTACAAAAAGAGTGTTTGCAAACTGCTCTATCAAAAGGAATGTTCAACTCTGGGAGTTGAATGCAATCATCACAGAGCAGTTTCTGAGAATGCTTCTATGTCGTTTTTAGGAGAAGATATTTCCTTTTCCAACACAGTCCTCCAAGCCCGCTAAATAGCCACTTGCACATTGTAGAAAAAGTGTGTCAAAGCTGCGCTATCAAAGGGAAAGTTCAACTCTGTGAGGTGAATGCAAACATCCCAAAGAAATTTCTGAGAATGCTTCCGTTTAGCTTTTAGGTGAAGATTATCCCGTTTCCAACGAAACCTTCAAAGAGGTCCAAATATCCCCTTGCGGATCCCACAGAAAGAGTGTTTCGAAACTGCTGTTTCAAAAGGAATCTTCAACTCTGTGAGTTGAATGCAATCATCACAAAGAAGTTTCTGACAATGCTTCTCTCTCGTCTTTCTGTGAAGATAAAGGAAAAGGCTTTCAGGCCTTTTCCACCACAGGCCTGAAAGCGCTCCAAATGTCCACTTGCAGATTCTGCGAAAAGAATATTTCAAAACTGCTCTATGAAAAGCAATGTTAAACTCTGTGGCTCGAACACAAACATCACAAAGCGGTTTCTGAGAATGCTTCAGTTTAGTTTTTCTGTGGAAATATTCCCGTTTCCAAAGAAATCTTCAAAGAGGTCCACGTATCCACTTACAGATTCTACAAAAAGACAGTTTCAAAACTGCTCCATCAAAAGGAGGGTTCAACTGTGTGACTTGAATGCAATCATCACTCAGAAGTTTCTGAGAATGCTTCTCTTTAGTTTTTACGTGAACATATACCCGTTTCGAACGAAGGCCAGCCAGTGGTCCAAATATCCACTTGCAGATTCTACAGAAAGAGTGTTTCGAACCTGAACTCTCAAAGGCAGGTTCATCTCTGCGAGTTAAATGCATTCATCATGAAGAACTTTCACAGAGTGTTTGTGTTTAGTTATGGGAAATTATTCCCGTTTCCAACGAAATCCTCAGAGAGCTCCAAATATCCACCTGCAGATTCTACCAAAAGTGTATTTGGAAACTGCTCCATCAAAAGGCATGTTCAGCTCTGTGAGTGAAACTCCATCATCACAAAGAATATTCTGAGAATGCTTCCGTTTGCCTTTTATATGAAGTTCCTTCCTATACGACCGTAGGCCTCAAAGCAGTCCAAATCTCCATTTGCAGATTCTACAAAAAGAGTGATTCCAATCTGCTCTATCAATAGGATTGTTCAACTCCATGAGTTGAATGCCATCCTCACAAAGTAGTTTCTGAGAATGCTTCTATCTAGTTTTTATGTGAAGATATTTCCTTTTCCACCACAGGCCTCAAAGCCCTCCAAACGTCCACTTGCAGATTCTCGAAAAAGAGTGTTTCATAGCTGCTCTTTCAAAAGGAAAGTTCAACTCTGGGAGTTGAATACAAACATCACAAAGTAGTTTCCGAGAATGCTTCTGTTTAGTTTTTATGTGAAGATGATCCCGTTTCCAGTGAAATCTTCAAAGAGGTCCACATATCCCCTTGCAGATTCCAAAGAAAGAGGGTTTCAAAACTGCTCCATCAGAAGGATTGTTCAACTCTGTGAGTTGAATGCAGTCATCGCAGAAAACTTTCTGAGAATGCTTCTGTCTATGTTTGATGTGAAGATATAGATATTTCAAACGAAGGCTACAAAGTGGTCAAAATATACACTTGCAGATTCTACTACAAGGGTGTTGCAAACCTGAACTATCAAAGGAAGGTTCAACTCTGTGAGTTGAATACAAACATCACAAAGAATGTTCTGAGTTTGCTTCCGTTCAGTTATGGGAAGTTGATCCCGTTTCCAACGAAATCCTCAGAGAGGTCCAAATATCCCCTTGCAGATTCTACAAAACGTGTGTTTGGAAACTGCTCCATCATAACGAATGTTCAGCTCCCTGAGTTAAACTCCATCGTCACAAAGAATTTTCTGAGAGTGCTACCGTCTGGTTTTTATATGAAGTTCTTTCCTTCACTACCACAGGCCTCAAAGCGGTCCAAATCTCCACTTGCAGATTCTACAAAAAGAGTGTTTGCAAACTGCTCTATCAAAAGGAATGTTCAACTCTGGGAGTTGAATGCAATCATCACAGAGCAGTTTCTGAGAATGCTTCTATGTCGTTTTTAGGAGAAGATATTTCCTTTTCCAACACAGTCCTCCAAGCCCGCTAAATAGCCACTTGCACATTGTAGAAAAAGTGTGTCAAAGCTGCGCTATCAAAGGGAAAGTTCAACTCTGTGAGGTGAATGCAAACATCCCAAAGAAGTTTCTGAGAATGCTTCCGTTTAGCTTTTAGGTGAAGATTATCCCGTTTCCAACGAAACCTTCAAAGAGGTCCAAATATCCCCTTGCGGATCCCACAGAAAGAGTGTTTCGAAACTGCTGTTTCAAAAGGAATCTTCAACTCTGTGAGTTGAATGCAATCATCACAAAGAAGTTTCTGACAATGCTTCTCTCTCGTCTTTCTGTGAAGATAAATAAATGCTTTCAGGCCTTTGCCACCACAGGCCTGAAAGCGCTCCAAATGTCCACTTGCAGATTCTGCCAAAAGAATATTTCAAAACTGCTTTGTGAAAAGCAATGTTAAACTCTGTGGCTCGAACACAAACATCACAAAGCGGTTTCTGAGAATGCTTCAGTTTAGTTTTTCTGTGGAAATATTCCCGTTTCCAAAGAAATCTTCAAAGAGGTCCACGTATCCACTTACAGATTCTACAAAAAGACAGTTTCAAAACTGCTCCATCAAAAGGAGGGTTCAACTGTGTGACTTGAATGCAATCATCACTCAGAAGTTTCTGAGAATGCTTCTCTTTAGTTTTTACGTGAACATATACCCGTTTCGAACGAAGGCCACCCAGTGGTCCAAATATCCACTTGCAGATTCTACAGAAAGAGTGTTTCGAACCTGAACTCTCAAAGGCAGGTTCATCTCTGCGAGTTAAATGCATTCATCATGAAGAACTTTCTCAGAGTGTTTGTGTTTAGTTATGGGAAATTATTCCCGTTTCCAACGAAATCCTCAGAGAGCTCCAAATATCCACCTGCAGATTCTACCAAAAGTGTATTTGGAAACTGCTCCATCAAAAGGCATGTTCAGCTCTGTGAGTGAAACTCCATCATCACAAAGAATATTCTGAGAATGCTTCCGTTTGCCTTTTATCTGAAGTTCCTTCCTATACGACCGTAGGCCTCAAAGCAGTCCAAATCTCCATTTGCAGATTCTACAAAAAGAGTGATTCCAATCTGCTCTATCAATAGGATTGTTCAACTCCATGAGTTGAATGCCATCCTCCAAAGTCGTTTCTGAGAATGCTTCTATCTAGTTTTTATGTGAAGATATTTCCTTTTCCACCACAGGCCTCAAAGCCCTCCAAACGTCCACTTGCAGATTCTCGAAAAAGAGTGTTTCATAGCTGCTCTTTCAAAAGGAAAGTTCAACTCTGGGAGTTGAATACAAACATCACAAAGTAGTTTCCGAGAATGCTTCTGTTTAGTTTTTATGTGAAGATGATCCCGTTTCCAGTGAAATCTTCAAAGAGGTCCACATATCCCCTTGCAGATTCCAAAGAAAGAGGGTTTCAAAACTGCTCCATCAGAAGGATTGTTCAACTCTGTGAGTTGAATGCAGTCATCGCAGAAAACTTTCTGAGAATGCTTCTGTCTAGGTTTGATGTGAAGATATAGACGTTTCAAACGAAGGGCTACAAAGTGGTCAAAATATACACTTGCAGATTCTACTACAAGGGTGTTGCAAACCTGAACTATCAATGGAAGGTTCAACTCTGTGAGTTGAATACAAACATCACAAAGAATGTTCTGAGTTTGCTTCCGTTCAGTTATGGGAAGTTGATCCCTTTTCCAACAAAATCCTCAGAGAGGTCCAAATATCCCCTTGCAGATTCTACAAAACGTGTGTTGGGAAACTGCTCCATCATAACGAATGTTCAGCTCCCTGAGTTAAACTCCATCGTCACAAAGAATTTTCTGAGAGTGCTACCGTCTGGTTTTTATATGAAGTTCTTTCCTTTACTACCATAGGCCTCAAAGCGGTCCAAATCTCCACTTGCAGATTCTACAAAAAGAGTGTTTGCAAACTGCTCTATCAAAAGGAATGTTCAACCCTGGGAGTTGAATGCAATCATCACAGAGCAGTTTCTGAGAATGCTTCTATGTCGTTTTTAGGAGAAGATATTTCCTTTTCCAACACAGTCCTCCACGCCCGCTAAATATCCACTTGCACATTGTAGAAAAAGTGTGTCAAAGCTGCGCTATCAAAGGGAAAGTTCAACTCTGTGAGGTGAATGCAAACATCCCAAAGAAGTTTCTGAGAGTGCTTCCGTTTAGCTTTTAGGTGAAGATTATCCCGTTTCCAACGAAAGCTTCAAAGAGGTCCAAATATCCCCTTGCGGATCCCACAGAAAGAGTGTTTCGAAACTGCTGTTTCAAAAGGAATCTTCAACTCTGTGAGTTGAATGCAATCATCACAAAGAAGTTTCTGACAATGCTTCTCTCTCGTCTTTCTGTGAAGATAAAGGAAAAGGCTTTCAGGCCTTTTCAACCACAGGCCTGAAAGCGCTCCAAATGTCCACTTGCAGATTCTGCCAAAAGAATATTTCAAAACTGCTCTATGAAAAGCAATGTTAAACTCTGTGGCTCGAACACAAACATCACAAAGCAGTTTCTGAGAATGCTTCAGTTTAGTTTTTCTGTGGAAATATTCCCGTTTCCAAAGAAATATTCAAAGAGGTCCACGTATCCACTTACAGATTTTACAAAAAGACAGTTTCAAAACTGCTCAATCAAAAGGAGGGTTCAACTGTGTGACTTGAATGTAATCATCACTCAGAAGTTTCTGAGAATGCTTCTCTTTAGTTTTTACGTGAACATATACCCGTTTCGAACGAAGGCCAGCCAGTGGTCCAAATATCCACTTGCAGATTCTACAGAAAGAGTGTTTCGAACCTGAACTCTCAAAGGCAGGTTCATCTCTGCGAGTTAAATGCATTCATCATGAAGAACTTTCTCAGAGTGTTTGTGTTTAGTTATGGGAAATTATTCCCGTTTCCAACGAAATCCTCAGAGAGCTCCAAATATCCACCTGCAGATTCTACCAAAAGTGTATTTGGAAACTGCTCCATCAAAAGGCATGTTCAGCTCTGTGAGTGAAACTCCATCATCACAAAGAATATTCTGAGAATGCTTCCGTTTGCCTTTTATATGAACTTCCTTCCTATACGACCGTAGGCCTCAAAGCAGTCCAAATCTCCATTTGCAGATTCTACAAAAAGAGTGATTCCAATCTGCTCTGTCAATAGGATTGTTCAACTCCATGAGTTGAATGCCATCCTCACAAAGTCGTTTCTGAGAATGCTTCTATCTAGTTTTTATGTGAAGATATTTCCTTTTCCACCACAGGCCTCAAAGCCCTCCAAACGTCCACTTGCAGATTCTCGAAAAAGAGTGTTTCATAGCTGCTCTTTCAAAAGGAAAGTTCAACTCTGGCAGTTGAATACAAACATCACAAAGTAGTTTCCGAGAATGCTTCTGTTTAGTTTTTATGTGAAGATGATCCCGTTTCCAGTGAAATCTTCAAAGAGGTCCACATATCCCCTTGCAGATTCCAAAGAAAGAGGGTTTCAAAACTGCTCCATCAGAAGGATTGTTCAACTCTGTGAGTTGAATGCAGTCATCGCAGAAAACTTTCTGAGAATGCTTCTTTCTAGGTTTGATGTGAAGATATAGACGTTTCAAACGAAGGCTACAAAGTGGTCAAAATATACACTTGCAGATTCTACTACAAGGGTGTTGCAAACCTGAACTATCAAAGGAAGGTTCAACTCTGTGAGTTGAATACAAACATCACAAAGAATGTTCTGAGTTTGCTTCCGTTCAGTTATGGGAAGTTGATCCCGTTTCCAACGAAATCCTCAGAGAGGTCCAAATATCCCCTTGCAGATTCTACAAAACGTGTGTTTGGAAACTGCTCCATCATAACGAATGTTCAGCTCCCTGAGTTAAACTCCATCGTCACAAAGAATTTTCTGAGAGTGCTACCGTCTGGTTTTTATATGAAGCTCTTTCCTTCACTACCCCAGGCCTCAAAGCGGTCCAAATCTCCACTTGCAGATTCTACAAAAAGAGTGTTTGCAAACTGCTCTATCAAAAGGAATGTTCAACTCTGGGAGTTGAATGCAATCATCACAGAGCAGTTTCTGAGAATGCTTCTATGTCGTTTTTAGGAGAAGATATTTCCTTTTCCAACACAGTCCTCCAAGCCCGCTAAATAGTCACTTGCACATTGTAGAAAAAGTGTGTCAAAGCTGCGCTATCAAAGGGAAAGTTCAACTCTGTGAGGTGAATGCAAACATCCCAAAGAAGTTTCTGAGAGTGCTTCCGTTTAGCTTTTAGGTGAAGATTATCCCGTTTCCAACGAAACCTTCAAAGAGGTCCAAATATCCCCTTGCGGATCCCACAGAAAGAGTGTTTCGAAACTGCTGTTTCAAAAGGAATCTTCAACTCTGTGAGTTGAATGCAATCATCACAAAGAAGTTTCTGACAATGCTTCTCTCTCGTCTTTCTGTGAAGATAAAGGAAAAGGCTTTCAGGCCTTTTCCACCACAGGCCTGAAAGCGCTCCAAATGTCCACTTGTAGATTCTGCGAAAAGAATATTTCAAAACTGCTCTATGAAAAGCAATGTTAAACTCTGTGGCTCGAACACAAACATCACAAAGCAGTTTCTGAGAATGCTTCAGTTTAGTTTTTCTGTGGAAATATTCCCGTTTCCAAAGAAATCTTCAAAGAGGTCCACGTATCCACTTACAGATTCTACAAAAAGACAGTTTCAAAACTGCTCCATCAAAAGGAGGGTTCAACTGTGTGACTTGAATGCAATCATCACTCAGAAGTTTCTGAGAATGCTTCTCTTTAGTTTTTACGTGAACATATACCCGTTTCGAACGAAGGCCACCCAGTGGTCCAAATATCCACTTGCAGATTCTACAGAAAGAGTGTTTCGAACCTGAACTCTCAAAGGCAGGTTCATCTCTGCGAGTTAAATGCATTCATCATGAAGAACTTTCTCAGAGTGTTTGTGTTTAGTTATGGGAAATTATTCCCGTTTCCAACGAAATCCTCAGAGAGGTCCAAATATCCACCTGCAGATTCTACCAAAAGTGTATTTGGAAACTGCTCCATCAAAAGGCATGTTCAGCTCTGTGAGTGAAACTCCATCATCACAAAGAATATTCTGAGAATGCTTCCGTTTGCCTTTTATATGAAGTTCCTTCCTATACTACCGTAGGCCTCAAAGCAGTCCAAATCTCCATTTGCAGATTCTACAAAAAGAGTGATTCCAATCTGCTCTATCAATAGGATTGTTCAACTCCATGAGTCGAATGCCATCCTCATAAAGTAGTTTCTGAGAATGCTTCTATCTAGTTTTTATGTGAAGATATTTCCTTTTCCACCACAGGCCTCAAAGCCCTCCAAACGTCCACTTGCAGATTCTCGAAAAAGAGTGTTTCATACCTGCCCTTCAAAAGGAAAGTTCAACTCTGGGAGTTGAATACAAACATCACAAAGTAGTTTCCCAGTATGCTTCTGTTTAGTTCTTATGTGAAGATGATCCCGTTTCCAGTGAAATCTTCAAAGAGGTCCACATATCCCCTTGCCGATTCCAAAGAAAGAGGGTTTCAAAACTGCTCCATCAAAAGGATTGTTCAACTCTGTGAGTTGAATGCAGTCATCGCAGAAAACTTTCTGAGAATGCTTCTGTCTAGGTTTGATGTGAAGATATAGACGTTTCAAACGAAGGCTACAAAGTGGTCAAAATATACACTTGCAGATTCTACTACAAGGGTGTTGCAAACCTGAACTATCAAAGGAAGGTTCAACTCTGTGAGTTGAATACAAACATCACAAAGAATGTTCTGAGTTTGCTTCCGTTCAGTTATGGGAAGTTGATCCCGTTTCCAACGAAATCCTCAGAGAGGTCCAAATATCCCCTTGCAGATTCTACAAAACGTGTGTTTGGAAACTGCTCCATCATAACGAATGTTCAGCTCTCTGAGTTAAACTCCATCGTCACAAAGAATTTTCTGAGAGTGCTACCGTCTAGTTTTTATATGAAGTTCTTTCCTTTACTACCACAGGCCTCAAAGCGGTCCAAATCTCCACTTGCAGATTCTACAAAAAGAGTGTTTGCAAACTGCTCTATCAAAAGGAATGTTCAACTCTGGGAGTTGAATGCAATCATCACAGAGCAGTTTCTGAGAATGCTTCTATGTCGTTTTTAGGAGAAGATATTTCCTATTCCAACACAGTCCTCCAAGCCCGCTAAATATCCACTTGCACATTGTAGAAAAAATGTGTCGAAGCTGCGCTATCAAAGGGAAAGTTCAACTCTGTGAGGTGAATGCAAACATCCCAAAGAAGTTTCTGAGAATGCTTCCGTTTAGCTTTTAGGTGAAGATTATCCCGTTTCCAACGAAAACCTTCAAAGAGGTCCAAATATCCCCTTGCGGATCCCACAGAAAGAGTGTTTCGAAACAGCTGTTTCAAAAGGAATCTTCAACTCTGTGAGTTGAATGCAATCATCACAAAGAAGTTTCTGACAATGCTTCTCTCTCGTCTTTCTGTGAAGATAAAGGAAAAGGCTTTCAGGCCTTTTCCACCACAGGCCTGAAAGCGCTCCAAATGTCCACTTGCAGATTCTGCCAAAAGAATATTTCAAAACTGCTCTATGAAAAGCAATGTTAAACTCTGTGGCTCGAACACAAACATCACAAAGCAGTTTCTGAGAATGCTTCAGTTTAGTTTTTCTGTGGAAATATTCCCGTTTCCAAAGAAATCTTCAAAGAGGTCCACGTATCCACTTACAGATTCTACAAAAAGACAGTTTCAAAACTGCTCCATCAAAAGGAGGGTTCAACTGTGTGACTTGAATGCAATCATCACTCAGAAGTTTCTGAGAATGCTTCTCTTTAGTTTTTACGTGAACATATACCCGTTTCGAACGAAGGCCACCCAGTGGTCCAAATATCCACTTGCAGATTCTACAGAAAGAGTGTTTCGAACCTGAACTCTCAAAGGCAGGTTCATCTCTGTGAGTTAAATGCATTCATCATGAAGAACTTTCTCAGAGTGTTTGTGTTTAGTTATGGGAAATTATTCCCGTTTCCAACGAAATCCTCAGAGAGCTCCAAATATCCACCTGCAGATTCTACCAAAAGTGTATTTGGAAACTGCTCCATCAAAAGGCATGTTCAGCTCTGTGAGTGAAACTCCATCATCACAAAGAATATTCTGAGAATGCTTCCGTTTGCCTTTTATATGAAGTTCCTTCCTGTACTACTGTAGGCCTCAAAGCAGTCCAAATCTCCATTTGCAGATTCTACAAAAAGAGTGATTCCAATCTGCTCTATCAATAGGATTGTTCAACTCCATGAGTTGAATGCCATCCTCACAAAGTAGTTTCTGAGAATGCTTCTATCTGGTTTTTGTGTGAAGATATTTCCTTTTCCACCACAGGCCTCAAAGCCCTCCAAACGTCCACTTGCAGATTCTCGAAAAAGAGTGTTTCATAGCTGCTCTTTCAAAAGGAAAGTTCAACTCTGGGAGTTGAATACAAACATCACAAAATAGTTTCTGAGAATGCTTCTGTTTAGTTTTTATGTGAAGATGATCCCGTTTCCAGTGAAATCTTCAAAGAGGTCCACATATCCCCTTGCAGATTCCAAAGAAAGAGGGTTTCAAAACTGCTCCATCAGAAGGATTGTTCAACTCTGTGAGTTGAATGCAGTCATCGCAGAAAACTTTCTGAGAATGCTTCTGTCTAGGTTTGATGTGAAGATATAGACGTTTCAAACGAAGGCTACAAAGTGGTCAAAATATACACTTGCAGATTCTACTACAAGGGTGTTGCAAACCTGAACTATCAAAGGAAGGTTCAACTCTGTGAGTTGAATACAAACATCACAAAGAATGTTCTGAGTTTGCTTCCGTTCAGTTATGGGAAGTTGATCCCGTTTCCAACGAAATCCTCAGAGAGGTCCAAATATCCCCTTGCAGATTCTACAAAACGTGTGTTTGGAAACTGCTCCATCATAACGAATGTTCAGCTCCCTGAGTTAAACTCCATCGTCACAAAGAATTTTCTGAGAGTGCTACCGTCTGGTTTTTATATGAAGTTCTTTCCTTCACTACCACAGGCCTCAAAGCGGTCCAAATCTCCACTTGCAGATTCTACAAAAAGAGTGTTTGCAAACTGCTCTATCAAAAGGAATGTTCAACTCTGGGAGTTGAATGCAATCATCACAGAGCAGTTTCTGAGAATGCTTCTATGTCGTTTTTAGGAGAAGATATTTCCTTTTCCAACACAATCCTCCAAGCCCGCTAAATAGCCACTTGCACATTGTAGAAAAAGTGTGTCAAAGCTGCGCTATCAAAGGGAAAGTTCAACTCTGTGAGGTGAATGCAAACATCCCAAAGAAGTTTCTGAGAATGCTTCCGTTTAGCTTTTAGGTGAAGATTATCCCGTTTCCAACGAAACCTTCAAAGAGGTCCAAATATCCCCTTGCGGATCCCACAGAAAGAGTGTTTCGAAACTGCTGTTTCAAAAGGAATCTTCAACTCTGTGAGTTGAATGCAATCATCAAAAAGAAGTTTCTGACAATGCTTCTCTCTCGTCTTTCTGTGAAGATAAAGAAAAGGCTTTCAGGCCTTTTCCACCACAGGCCTGAAAGCGCTCCAAATGTCCACTTGCAGATTCTGCCAAAAGAATATTTCAAAACTGCTCTATGAAAAGCAATGTTAAACTCTGTGGCTCGAACACAAACATCACAAAGCGGTTTCTGAGAATGCTTCAGTTTAGTTTTTCTGTGGAAATATTCCCGTTTCCAAAGAAATCTTCAAAGAGGTCCACGTATCCACTTACAGATTCTACAAAAAGACAGTTTCAAAACTGCTCCATCAAAAGGAGGGTTCAACTGTGTGACTTGAATGCAATCATCACTCAGAAGTTTCTGAGAATGCTTCTCTTTAGTTTTTACGTGAACATATACCCGTTTAGAACGAAGGCCACCCAGTGGTCCAAATATCCACTTGCAGATTCTACAGAAAGAGTGTTTCGAACCTGAACTCTCAAAGGCAGGTTCATCTCTGCGAGTTCAATGCATTCATCATGAAGAACTTTCTCAGAGTGTTTGTGTTTAGTTATGGGAAATTATTCCCGTTTCCAACGAAATCCTCAGAGAGCTCCAAATATCCACCTGCAGATTCTACCAAAAGTGTATTTGGAAACTGCTCCATCAAAAGGCATGTTCAGCTCTGTGAGTGAAACTCCATCATCACAAAGAATATTCTGAGAATGCTTCCGTTTGCCTTTTATATGAAGTTCCTTCCTATACTACCGTAGGCCTCAAAGCAGTCCAAATCTCCATTTGCAGATTCTACAAAAAGAGTGATTCCAATCTGCTCTATCAATAGGATTGTTCAACTCCATGAGTTGAATGCCATCCTCACAAAGTAGTTTCTGAGAATGCTTCTATCTGGTTTTTGTGTGAAGATATTTCCTTTTCCACCACAGGACTCAAATCCCTCCAAACGTCCACTTGCAGATTCTCGAAAAAGAGTGTTTCATAGCTGCTCTTTCAAAAGGAAAGTTCAACTCTGGGAGTTGAATACAAACATCACAAAATAGTTTCCGAGAATGCTTCTGTTTAGTTTTTATGTGAAGATGATCCCGTTTCCAGTGAAATCTTCAAAGAGGTCCACATATCCCCTTGCAGATTCCAAAGAAAGAGGGTTTCAAAACTGCTCCATCAGAAGGATTGTTCAACTCTGTGA
Source organism: Homo sapiens (assembly GCF_000001405.40). Taxonomy (NCBI): domain Eukaryota; kingdom Metazoa; phylum Chordata; class Mammalia; order Primates; family Hominidae; genus Homo; species Homo sapiens. The sequence goes on along the minus strand of NC_000023.11, from coordinate 59,852,882 downwards.
GTTGAATGCAGTCATCGCAGAAAACTTTCTGAGAATGCTTCTGTCTAGGTTTGATGTGAAGATATAGACGTTTCAAACGAAGGCTACAAAGTGGTCAAAATATACACTTGCAGATTCTACTACAAGGGTGTTGCAAACCTGAACTATCAAAGGAAGGTTCAACTCTGTGAGTTGAATACAAACATCACAAAGAATGTTCTGAGTTTGCTTCCGTTCAGTTATGGGAAGTTGATCCCGTTTCCAACGAAATCCTCAGAGAGGTCCAAATATCCCCTTGCAGATTCTACAAAACATGTGTTTGGAAACTGCTCCATCATAAGGAATGTTCAGCTCCCTGAGTTAAACTCCATCGTCACAAAGAATTTTCTGAGAGTGCTACCGTCTGGTTTTTATATGAAGTTCTTTCCTTCACTACCACAGGCCTCAAAGCGGTCCAAATCTCCACTTGCAGATTCTACAAAAAGAGTGTTTGCAAACTGCTCTATCAAAAGGAATGTTCAACCCTGGGAGTTGAATGCAATCATCACAGAGCAGTTTCTGAGAATGCTTCTATGTCGTTTTTAGGAGAAGATATTTCCTTTTCCAACACAGTCCTCCAAGCCCGCTAAATAGCCACTTGCACATTGTAGAAAAAGTGTGTCAAAGCTGCGCTATCAAAGGGAAAGTTCAACTCTGTGAGGTGAATGCAAACATCCCAAAGAAGTTTCTGAGAATGCTTCCGTTTAGCTTTTAGGTGAAGATTATCCCGTTTCCAACGAAACCTTCAAAGAGGTCCAAATATCCCCTTGCGGATCCCACAGAAAGAGTGTTTCGAAACTGCTGTTTCAAAAGGAATCTTCAACTCTGTGAGTTGAATGCAATCATCACAAAGAAGTTTCTGACAATGCTTCTCTCTCGTCTTTCTGTGAAGATAAAGGAAAAGGCTTTCAGGCCTTTGCCACCACAGGCCTGAAAGCGCTCCAAATGTCCACTTGCAGATTCTGCCAAAAGAATATTTCAAAACTGCTCTATGAAAAGCAATGTTAAACTCTGCGGCTCGAACACAAACATCACAAAGCGGTTTCTGAGAATGCTTCAGTTTAGTTTTTCTGTGGAAATATTCCCGTTTCCAAAGAAATCTTCAAAGAGGTCCACGCATCCACTTACAGATTCTACAAAAAGACAGTTTCAAAACTGCTCCATCAAAAGGAGGGTTCAACTGTGTGACTTGAATGCAATCATCACTCAGAAGTTTCTGAGAATGCTTCTCTTTAGTTTTTACGTGAACATATACCCGTTTCGAACGAAGGCCAGCCAGTGGTCCAAATATCCACTTGCAGATTCTACAGAAAGAGTGTTTCGAACCTGAACTCTCAAAGGCAGGTTCATCTCTGCGAGTTAAATGCATTCATCATGAAGAACTTTCTCAGAGTGTTTGTGTTTAGTTATGGGAAATTATTCCCGTTTCCAACGAAATCCTCAGAGAGCTCCAAATATCCACCTGCAGATTCTACCAAAAGTGTATTTGGAAACTGCTCCATCAAAAGGCATGTTCAGCTCTGTGAGTGAAACTCCATCATCACAACGAATATTCTGAGAATGCTTCCGTTTGCCTTTTATATGAAGCTCCTTCCTATACTACCGTAGGCCTCAAAGCAGTCCAAATCTTCATTTGCAGATTCTACAAAAAGAGTGATTCCAATCTGCTCTATCAATAGGATTGTTCAACTCCATGAGTTGAATGCCATCCTCACAAAGTCGTTTCTGAGAATGCTTCTATCTAGTTTTTATGTGAAGATATTTCCTTTTCCACCACAGGCCTCAAAGCCCTCCAAACGTCCACTTGCAGATTCTCGAAAAAGAGTGTTTCATAGCTGCTCTTTCAAAAGGAAAGTTCAACTCTGGGAGTTGAATACAAACATCACAAAGTAGTTTCCGAGAATGCTTCTGTTTAGTTCTTATGTGAAGATGATCCCGTTTCCAGTGAAATCTTCAAAGAGGTCCACATATCCCCTTGCAGATTCCAAAGAAAGAGGGTTTCAAAACTGCTCCATCAAAAGGATTGTTCAACTCTGTGAGTTGAATGCAGTCATCGCAGAAAACTTTCTGAGAATGCTTCTGTCTAGGTTTGAGGTGAAGATATAGACGTTTCAAACGAAGGCTACAAAGTGGTCAAAATATACACTTGCAGATTCTACTACAAGGGTGTTGCAAACTTCAACTATCAAAGGAAGGTTCAACTCTGTGAGTTGAATACAAACATCACAAAGAATGTTCTGAGTTTGCTTCCGTTCAGTTATGGGAAGTTGATCCCGTTTCCAACGAAATCCTCAGAGAGGTCCAAATATCCCCTTGCAGATTCTACGAAACGTGTGTTTGGAAACTGCTCCATCATAACGAATGTTCAGCTCTCTGAGTTAAACTCCATCGTCACAAAGAATTTTCTGAGAGTGCTACCGTCTGGTTTTTATATGAAGTTCTTTCCTTTACTACCACAGGCCTCAAAGCGGTCCAAATCTCCACTTGCAGATTCTACAAAAACAGTGTTTGCAAACTGCTCTATCAAAAGGAATGTTCAACTCTGGGAGTTGAATGCAATCATCACAGAGCAGTTTCTGAGAATGCTTCTATGTCGTTTTTAGGAGAAGATATTTCCTTTTCCAACACAGTCCTCCAAGCCCGCTAAATATCCACTTGCACATTGTAGAAAAAGTGTGTCGAAGCTGCGCTATCAAAGGGAAAGTTCAACTCTGTGAGGTGAATGCAAACATCCCAAAGAAGTTTCTGAGAATGCTTCCGTTTAGCTTTTAGGTGAAAATTATCCCGTTTCCAACGAAATCTTCAAAGAGGTCCAAATATCCCCTTGCGGATCCCACAGAAAGAGTGTTTCGAAACTGCTGTTTCAAAAGGAATCTTCAACTCTGTGAGTTGAATGCAATCATCACAAAGAAGTTTCTGACAATGCTTCTCTCTCGTCTTTCTGTGAAGATAAAGGAAAAGGCTTTCAGGCCTTTTCCACCACAGGCCTGAAAGCGCTCCAAATGTCCACTTGCAGATTCTGCGAAAAGAATATTTCAAAACTGCTCTATGAAAAGCAATGTTAAACTCTGTGGCTCGAACACAAACATCACAAAGCAGTTTCTGAGAATGCTTCAGTTTAGTTTTTCTGTGGAAATATTCCCGTTTCCAAAGAAATCTTCAAAGAGGTCCACGTATCCACTTACAGATTCTACAAAAAGACAGTTTCAAAACTGCTCCATCAAAAGGAGGGTTCAACCGTGTGACTTGAATGCAATCATCACTCAGAAGTTTCTGAGAATGCTTCTCTTTAGTTTTTACGTGAACATATACCCGTTTCGAACGAAGGCCACCCAGTGGTCCAAATATCCACTTGCAGATTATACAGAAAGAGTGTTTCGAACCTGAACTCTCAAAGGCAGGTTCATCTCTGCGAGTTAAATGCATTCATCATGAAGAACTTTCTCAGAGTGTTTGTGTTTAGTTATGGGAAATTATTCCCGTTTCCAACGAAATCCTCAGAGAGCTCCAAATATCCACCTGCAGATTCTACCAAAAGTGTATTTGGAAACTGCTCCATCAAAAGGCATGTTCAGCTCTGTGAGTGAAACTCCATCATCACAAAGAATATTCTGAGAATGCTTCCGTTTGCCTTTTATATGAAGTTCCTTCCTATACTACCGTAGGCCTCAAAGCAGTCCAAATCTCCATTTGCAGATTCTACAAAAAGAGTGATTCCAATCTGCTCTATCAATAGGATTGTTCAACTCCATGAGTTGAATGCCATCCTCACAAAGTCGTTTCTGAGAATGCTTCTATGTAGTTTTTATGTGAAGATATTTCCTTTTCCACCACAGGCCTCAAAGCCCTCCAAACGTCCACTTGCAGATTCTCGAAAAAGAGTGTTTCATAGCTGCTCTTTCAAAAGGAAAGTTCAACTCTGGGAGTTGAATACAAACATCACAAAGTAGTTTCCGAGAATGCTTCTGTTTAGTTCTTATGTGAAGATGATCCCGTTTCCAGTGAAATCTTCAAAGAGGTCCACATATCCCCTTGCAGATTCCAAAGAAAGAGGGTTTCAAAACTGCTCCATCAAAAGGATTGTTCAACTCTGTGAGTTGAATGCAGTCATCGCAGAAAACTTTCTGAGAATGCTTCTGTTTAGGTTTGATGTGAAGATATAGACGTTTCAAACGAAGGCTACAAAGTGGTCAAAATATACACTTGCAGATTCTACTACAAGGGTGATGCAAACCTCAACTATCAAAGGAAGGTTCAACTCTGTGAGTTGAATACAAACATCACAAAGAATGTTCTGAGTTTGCTTCCGTTCAGTTATGGGAAGTTGATCCCGTTTCCTACGAAATCCTCAGAGAGGTCCAAATATCCCCTTGCAGATTCTACAAAACGTGTGTTTGGAAACTGCTCCATCATAACGAATGTTCAGCTCTCTGAGTTAAACTCCATCGTCACAAAGAATTTTCTGAGAGTGCTACCGTCTAGTTTTTATATGAAGTTCTTTCCTTTACTACCACAGGCCTCAAAGCGGTCCAAATCTCCACTTGCAGATTCTACAAAAAGAGTGTTTGCAAACTGCTCTATCAAAAGGAATGTTCAACTCTGGGAGTTGAATGCAATCATCACAGAGCAGTTTCTGAGAATGCTTCTATGTCGTTTTTAGGAGAAGATATATCCTTTTCCAACACAGTCCTCCAAGCCCGCTATATATCCACTTGCACATTGTAGAAAAAGTGTGTCGAAGCTGTGCTATCAAAGGGAAAGTTCAACTCTGTGAGGTGAATGCAAACATCCCAAAGAAGTTTCTGAGAATGCTTCCGTTTAGCTTTAAGTGAAGATTATTCCGTTTCCAACGAAATCTTCAAAGAGGTCCAAATATCCCCTTGCGGATCCCACAGAAAGAGTGTTTCGAAACTGCTGTTTCAAAAGGAATCTTCAACTCTGTGAGTTGAATGCAATCATCACAAAGAAGTTTCTGACAATGCTTCTCTCTCGTCTTTCTGTGAAGATAAAGGAAAAGGCTTTCAGGCCATTTCCACCACAGGCCTGAAAGCGCTCCAAATGTCCACTTGCAGATTCTGCCAAAAGAATATTTCAAAACTGCTCTATGAAAAGCAATGTTAAACTCTGCGGCTCGAACACAAACATCACAAAGCAGTTTCTGAGAATGCTTCAGTTTAGTTTTTCTGTGGAAATATTCCCGTTTCCAAAGAAATCTTCAAAGAGGTCCACGCATCCACTTACAGATTCTACAAAAAGACAGTTTCAAAACTGCTCAATCAAAAGGAGGGTTCAACTGTGTGACTTGAATGCATTCATCACTCAGAAGTTTCTGAGAACGCTTCTCTTTAGTTTTTACGTGAACATATACCCGTTTCGAATGAAGGCCAGCCAGTGGTCCAAATATCCACTTGCAGATTCTACAGAAAGAGTGTTTTGAACCTGAACTCTCAAAGGCAGGTTCATCTCTGCGAGTTAAATGCATTCATCATGAAGAACTTTCTCAGCGTGTTTGTGTTTAGTTATGGGAAATTATTCCCGTTTCCAACGAAATCCTCAGAGAGCTCCAAATATCCACCTGCAGATTCTACCAAAAGTGTATTTGGAAACTGCTCCATGAAAAGGCATGTTCAGCTCTGTGAGTGAAACTCCGTCATCACAAAGAATATTCTGAGAATGCTTCCGTTTGCCTTTTATATGAAGTTCCTTCCTATACTACCGTAGGCCTCAAAGCAGTCCAAATCTCCATTTGCAGATTCTACAAAAAGAGTGATTCCAATCTGCTCTATCAATAGGATTGTTCAACTCCATGAGTTGAATGCCATCCTCACAAAGTAGTTTCTGAGAATGCTTCTATGTAGTTTTTAAGTGAAGATATTTCCTTTTCCACCACAGGCCTCAAAGCCCTCCAAACGTCCACTTGCAGATTCCCGAAAAAGAGTGTTTCATAGCTGCTCTTTCAAAAGGAAAGTTCAACTCTGGGAGTTGAATACAAACATCACAAAGTAGTTTCCGAGAATGCTTCTGTTTAGTTCTTATGTGAAGATGATCCCGTTTCCAGTGAAATCTTCAAAGAGGTCCACATATCCCCTTGCAGATTCCAAAGAAAGAGGGTTTCAAAACTGCTCCATCAAAAGGATTGTTCAACTCTGTGAGTTGAATGCAGTCATCGCAGAAAACTTTCTGAGAATGCTTCTGTCTAGGTTTGATGTGAAGATATAGACGTTTCAAACGAAGGCTACAAAGTGGTCAAAATATACACTTGCAGATTCTACTACAAGGGTGTTGCAAACCTCAACTATCAAAGGAAGGTTCAACTCTGTGAGACGAATGCAAACATCACAAAGAATGTTCTGAGTTTGCTTCCGTTCAGTTATGGGAAGTTGATCCCGTTTCCAACGAAATCCTCAGAGAGGTCCAAATATCCCCTTGCAGATTCTACAAAACGTGTGTTTGGAAACTGCTCCATCATAACGAATGTTCAGCTCTCTGAGTTAAACTCCATCGTCACAAAGAATTTTCTGAGAGTGCTACCGTCTACTTTTTATATGAAGTTCTTTGCTTTACTACCACAGGCCTCAAAGCGGTCCAAATCTCCACTTGCAGATTCTACAAAAAGAGTGTTTGCAAACTGCTCTATCAAAAGGAATGTTCAACTCTGGGAGTTGAATGCAATCATCACAGAGCAGTTTCTGAGAATGCTTCTATGTCGTTTTTAGGAGAAGATATTTCCTTTTCCAACACAGTCCTCCAAGCCCGCTAAATATCCACTTGCACATTGTAGAAAAAGTGTGTCGAAGCTGCGCTATCAAAGGGAAAGTTCAACTCTGTGAGGTGAATGCAAACATCCCAAAGAAGTTTCTGAGAATGCTTCCGTTTAGCTTTTAGGTGAAGATTATCCTGTTTCCAACGAAATCTTCAAAGAGGTCCAAATATCCCCTTGCGGATCCCACAGAAAGAGTGTTTCGAAACTGCTGTTTCAAAAGGAATCTTCAACTCTGTGGGTTGAATGCAATCATCACAAAGAAGTTTCTGACAATGCTTCTCTCTCGTCTTTCTGTGAAGATAAAGGAAAAGGCTTTCAGGCCTTTTCCACCACAGGCCTGAAAGCGCTCCAAATGTCCACTTGCAGATTCTGCCAAAAGAATATTTCAAAACTGCTCTATGAAAAGCAATGTTAAACTCTGCGGCTCGAACACAAACATCACAAAGCAGTTTCTGAGAATGCTTCAGTTTAGTTTTTCTGTGGAAATATTCCCATTTCCAAAGAAATCTTCAAAGAGGTCCACGTATCCACTTACAGATTCTACAAAAAGACAGTTTCAAAACTGCTCAATCAAAAGGAGGGTTCAACCGTGTGACTTGAATGCAATCATCACTCAGAAGTTTCTGAGAATGCTTCTCTTTAGTTTTTACGTGAACATATACCCGTTTCGAACGAAGGCCACCCAGTGGTCCAAATATCCACTTGCAGATTCTACAGAAAGAGTGTTTCGAACCTGAACTCTCAAAGGCAGGTTCATCTCTGCGAGTTCAATGCATTCATCATGAAGAACTTTCTCAGAGTGTTTGTGTTTAGGTATGGGAAATTATTCCCGTTTCCAACGAAATCTTCAGAGAGGTCCAAATATCCACCTGCAGATTCTACCAAAAGTGTATTTGGAAACTGCTCCATCAAAAGGCATGTTCAGCTCTGTGAGTGAAACTCCATCATCACAAAGAATATTCTGAGAATGCTTCCGTTTGCCTTTTATATGAAGTTCCTTCCTATACTACCGTAGGCCTCAAAGCAGTCCAAATCTCCATTTGCAGATTCTACAAAAAGAGTGATTCCAATCTGCTCTATCAATAGGATTGTTCAACTCCATGAGTTGAATGCCATCCTCACAAAGTCGTTTCTGAGAATGCTTCTATCTAGTTTTTATGTGAAGATATTTCCTTTTCCACCACAGGCCTCAAAGCCTTCCAAACGTCCACTTGCAGATTCTCGAAAAAGAGTGTTTCATAGCTGCTCTTTCAAAAGGAAAGTTCAACTCTGGGAGTTGAATACAAACATCACAAAGTAGTTTCCGAGAATGCTTCAGTTTAGTTTTTATGTGAAGATGATCCCGTTTCCAGTGAAATCTTCAAAGAGGTCCACATATCCCCTTGCAGATTCCAAAGAAAGAGGGTTTCAAAACTGCTCCATCAGAAGGATTGTTCAACTCTGTGAGTTGAATGCAGTCATCGCAGAAAACTTTCTGAGAATGCTTCTGTCTAGGTTTGATGTGAAGATATAGATGTTTCAAACGAAGGCTACAAAGTGGTCAAAATATACACTTTCAGATTCTACTACAAGGGTGTTGCAAACCTGAACTATCAAAGGAAGGTTCAACTCTGTGAGTTGAATACAAACATCACAAAGAATGTTCTGAGTTTGCTTCCGTTCAGTTATGGGAAGTTGATCCCGTTTCCAACGAAATCCTCAGAGAGGTCCAAATATCCCCTTGCAGATTCTACAAAACGTGTGTTTGGAAACTGCTCCATCATAACGAATGTTCAGCTCCCTGAGTTAAACTCCATCGTCACAAAGAATTTTCTGAGAGTGCTACCGTCTGGTTTTTATATGAAGTTCTTTCCTTCACTACCACAGGCCTCAAAGCGGTCCAAATCTCCACTTGCAGATTCTACAAAAAGAGTGTTTGCAAACTGCTCTATCAAAAGGAATGTTCAACTCTGGGAGTTGAATGCAATCATCACAGAGCAGTTTCTGAGAATGCTTCTATGTCGTTTTTAGGAGAAGATATTTCCTTTTCCAACACAGTCCTCCAAGCCCGCTAAATAGCCACTTGCACATTGTAGAAAAAGTGTGTCAAAGCTGCGCTATCAAAGGGAAAGTTCAACTCTGTGAGGTGAATGCAAACATCCCAAAGAAGTTTCTGAGAATGCTTCCGTTTAGCTTTTAGGTGAAGATTATCCCGTTTCCAACGAAACCTTCAAAGAGGTCCAAATATCCCCTTGCGGATCCCACAGAAAGAGTGTTTCGAAACTGCTGTTTCAAAAGGAATCTTCAACTCTGTGAGTTGAATGCAATCATCACAAAGAAGTTTCTGACAATGCTTCTCTCTCGTCTTTCTGTGAAGATAAAGGAAAAGGCTTTCAGGCCTTTTCCACCACAGGCCTGAAAGCGCTCCAAATGTCCACTTGCAGATTCTGCGAAAAGAATATTTCAAAACTGCTCTATGAAAAGCAATGTTAAACTCTGCGGCTCGAACACAAACATCACAAAGCGGTTTCTGAGAATGCTTCAGTTTAGTTTTTCTGTGGAAATATTCCCGTTTCCAAAGAAATCTTCAAAGAGGTCCACGCATCCACTTACAGATTCTACAAAAAGACAGTTTCAAAACTGCTCCATCAAAAGGAGGGTTCAACCGTGTGACTTGAATGCAATCATCACTCAGAAGTTTCTGAGAATGCTTCTCTTTAGTTTTTACGTGAACATATACCCGTTTCGAACGAAGGCCACCCAGTGGTCCAAATATCCACTTGCAGATTATACAGAAAGAGTGTTTCGAACCTGAACTCTCAAAGGCAGGTTCATCTCTGCGAGTTAAATGCATTCATCATGAAGAACTTTCTCAGAGTGTTTGTGTTTAGTTATGGGAAATTATTCCCGTTTCCAACGAAATCCTCAGAGAGCTCCAAATATCCACCTGCAGATTCTACCAAAAGTGTATTTGGAAACTGCTCCATCAAAAGGCATGTTCAGCTCTGTGAGTGAAACTCCATCATCACAAAGAATATTCTGAGAATGCTTCCGTTTGCCTTTTATATGAAGTTCCTTCCTGTACTACCGTAGGCCTCAAAGCAGTCCAAATCTCCATTTGCAGATTCTATAAAAAGAGTGATTCCAATCTGCTCTATCAATAGGATTGTTCAACTCCATGAGTTGAATGCCATCCTCACAAAGTAGTTTCTGAGAATGCTTCTATCTGGTTTTTGTGTGAAGATATTTCCTTTTCCACCACAGGCCTCAAAGCCCTCCAAACGTCCACTTGCAGATTCTCGAAAAAGAGTGTTTCATAGCTGCTCTTTCAAAAGGAAAGTTCAACTCTGGGAGTTGAATACAAACATCACAAAATAGTTTCCGAGAATGCTTCTGTTTAGTTTTTATGTGAAGATGATCCCGTTTCCAGTGAAATCTTCAAAGAGGTCCACATATCCCCTTGCAGATTCCAAAGAAAGAGGGTTTCAAAACTGCTCCATCAGAGGATTGTTCAACTCTGTGAGTTGAATGCAGTCATCGCAGAAAACTTTCTGAGAATGCTTCTGTCTAGGTTTGATGTGAAGATATAGACGTTTCAAACGAAGGCTACAAAGTGGTCAAAATATACACTTGCAGATTCTACTACAAGGGTGTTGCAAACCTGAACTATCAAAGGAAGGTTCAACTCTGTGAGTTGAATACAAACATCACAAAGAATGTTCTGAGTTTGCTTCCGTTCAGTTATGGGAAGTTGATCCCGTTTCCAACGAAATCCTCAGAGAGGTCCAAATATCCCCTCGCAGATTCTACAAAACGTGTGTTTGGAAACTGCTCCATCATAACGAATGTTCAGCTCCCTGAGTTAAACTCCATCGTCACAAAGAATTTTCTGAGAGTGCTACCGTCTGGTTTTTATATGAAGTTCTTTCCTTCACTACCACAGGCCTCAAAGCGGTCCAAATCTCCACTTGCAGATTCTACAAAAAGAGTGTTTGCAAACTGCTCTATCAAAAGGAATGTTCAACTCTGGGAGTTGAATGCAATCATCACAGAGCAGTTTCTGAGAATGCTTCTATGTCGTTTTTAGGAGAAGATATTTCCTTTTCCAACACAGTCCTCCAAGCCCGCTAAATAGCCACTTGCACATTGTAGAAAAAGTGTGTCAAAGCTGCGCTATCAAAGGGAAAGTTCAACTCTGTGAGGTGAATGCAAACATCCCAAAGAAGTTTCTGAGAATGCTTCCGTTTAGCTTTTAGGTGAAGATTATCCCGTTTCCAACGAAACCTTCAAAGAGGTCCAAATATCCCCTTGCGGATCCCACAGAAAGAGTGTTTCGAAACTGCTGTTTCAAAAGGAATCTTCAACTCTGTGAGTTGAATGCAATCATCACAAAGAAGTTTCTGACAATGCTTCTCTCTCGTCTTTCTGTGAAGATAAAGGAAAAGGCTTTCAGGCCTTTGCCACCACAGGCCTGAAAGCGCTCCAAATGTCCACTTGCAGATTCTGCGAAAAGAATATTTCAAAACTGCTCTATGAAAAGCAATGTTAAACTCTGTGGCTCGAACACAAACATCACAAAGCGGTTTCTGAGAATGCTTCAGTTTAGTTTTTCTGTGGAAATATTCCCGTTTCCAAAGAAATCTTCAAAGAGGTCCACGTATCCACTTACAGATTCTACAAAAAGACAGTTTCAAAACTGCTCCATCAAAAGGAGGGTTCAACTGTGTGACTTGAATGCAATCATCACTCAGAAGTTTCTGAGAATGCTTCTCTTTAGTTTTTACGTGAACATATACCCGTTTCGAACGAAGGCCACCCAGTGGTCCAAATATCCACTTGCAGATTCTACAGAAAGAGTGTTTCGAACCTGAACTCTCAAAGGCAGGTTCATCTCTGCGAGTTAAATGCATTCATCATGAAGAACTTTCTCAGCGTGTTTGTGTTTAGTTATGGGAAATTATTCCCGTTTCCAACGAAATCCTCAAAGAGCTCCAAATATCCACCTGCAGATTCTACCAAAAGTGTATTTGGAAACTGCTCCATCAAAAGACATGTTCAGCTCTGTGAGTGAAACTCCATCATCACAAAGAATATTCTGAGAATGCTTCCCGTTTGCCTTTTATATGAAGTTCCTTCCTGTACTACCGTAGGCCTCAAAGCAGTCCAAATCTCCATTTGCAGATTCTACAAAAAGAGTGATTCCAATCTGCTCTATCAATAGGATTGTTCAACTCCATGAGTTGAATGCCATCCTCACAAAGTCGTTTCTGAGAATGCTTCTATCTGGTTTTTGTGTGAAGATATTTCCTTTTCCACCACAGGCCTCAAAGCCCTCCAAACGTCCACTTGCAGATTCTCGAAAAAGAGTGTTTCATAGCTGCTCTTTCAAAAGGAAAGTTCAACTCTGGGAGTTGAATACAAACATCACAAAATAGTTTCCGAGAATGCTTCTGTTTAGTTTTTATGTGAAGATGATCCCGTTTCCAGTGAAATCTTCAAAGAGGTCCACATATCCCCTTGCAGATTCCAAAGAAAGAGGGTTTAAAAACTGCTCCATCAGAAGGATTGTTCAACTCTGTGAGTTCAATGCAGTCATCGCAGAAATCTTTCTGAGAATGCTTCTGTCTAGGTTTGATGTGAAGATATAGACGTTTCAAACGAAGGCTACAAAGTGGTCAAAATATACACTTGCAGATTCTACTACAAGGGTGTTGCAAACCTGAACTATCAAAGGAAGTTTCAACTCTGTGAATTGAATACAAACATCACAAAGAATGTTCTGAGTTTGCTTCCGTTCAGTTATGGGAAGTTGATCCCGTTTCCAACGAAATCCTCAGAGAGGTCCAAATATCCCCTCGCAGATTCTACAAAACGTGTGTTTGGAAACTGCTCCATCATAACGAATGTTCAGCTCCCTGAGTTAAACTCCATCGTCACAAAGAATTTTCTGAGAGTGCTACCGTCTGGTTTTTATATGAAGTTCTTTCCTTCACTACCACAGGCCTCAAAGCGGTCCAAATCTCCACTTGCAGATTCTACAAAAAGAGTGTTTGCAAACTGCTCTATCAAAAGGAATGTTCAACTCTGGGAGTTGAATGCAATCATCACAGAGCAGTTTCTGAGAATGCTTCTATGTCGTTTTTAGGAGAAGATATTTCCTTTTCCAACACAGTCCTCCAAGCCCGCTAAATAGCCACTTGCACATTGTAGAAAAAGTGTGTCAAAGCTGCGCTATCAAAGGGAAAGTTCAACTCTGTGAGGTGAATGCAAACATCCCAAAGAAGTTTCTGAGAATGCTTCCGTTTAGCTTTTAGGTGAAGATTATCCCGTTTCCAACGAAACCTTCAAAGAGGTCCAAATATCCCCTTGCGGATCCCACAGAAAGAGTGTTTCGAAACTGCTGTTTCAAAAGGAATCTTCAACTCTGTGAGTTGAATGCAATCATCACAAAGAAGTTTCTGACAATGCTTCTCTCTCGTCTTTCTGTGAAGATAAAGGAAAAGGCTTTCAGGCCTTTGCCACCACAGGCCTGAAAGCGCTCCAAATGTCCACTTGCAGATTCTGCGAAAAGAATATTTCAAAACTGCTCTATGAAAAGCAATGTTAAACTCTGTGGCTCGAACACAAACATCACAAAGCAGTTTCTGAGAATGCTTCAGTTTAGTTTTTCTGTGGAAATATTCCCGTTTCCAAAGAAATCTTCAAAGAGGTCCACGTATCCACTTACAGATTCTACAAAAAGACAGTTTCAAAACTGCTCCATCAAAAGGAGGGTTCAACCGTGTGACTTGAATGCAATCATCACTCAGAAGTTTCTGAGAATGCTTCTCTTTAGTTTTTACGTGAACATATACCCGTTTCGAACGAAGGCCACCCAGTGGTCCAAATATCCACTTGCAGATTATACAGAAAGAGTGTTTCGAACCTGAACTCTCAAAGGCAGGTTCATCTCTGCGAGTTAAATGCATTCATCATGAAGAACTTTCTCAGAGTGTTTGTGTTTAGTTATGGGAAATTATTCCCCTTTCCAACGAAATCCTCAGAGAGCTCCAAATATCCACCTGCAGATTCTACCAAAAGTGTATTTGGAAACTGCTCCATCAAAAGGCATGTTCAGCTCTGTGAGTGAAACTCCATCATCACAAAGAATATTCTGAGAATGCTTCCGTTTGCCTTTTATATGAAGTTCCTTCCTGTACTACCGTAGGCCTCAAAGCAGTCCAAATCTCCATTTGCAGATTCTACAAAAAGAGTGATTCCAATCTGCTCTATCAATAGGATTGTTCAACTCCATGAGTTGAATGCCATCCTCACAAAGTAGTTTCTGAGAATGCTTCTATCTGGTTTTTGTGTGAAGATATTTCCTTTTCCACCACAGGCCTCAAAGCCCTCCAAACGTCCACTTGCAGATTCTCGAAAAAGAGTGTTTCATAGCTGCTCTTTCAAAAGGAAAGTTCAACTCTGGGAGTTGAATACAAACATCACAAAATAGTTTCTGAGAATGCTTCTGTTTAGTTTTTATATGAAGATGATCCCGTTTCCAGTGAAATCTTCAAAGAGGTCCACATATCCCCTTGCAGATTCCAAAGAAAGAGGGTTTCAAAACTGCTCCATCAGAAGGATTGTTCAACTCTGTGAGTTGAATGCAGTCATCGCAGAAAACTTTCTGAGAATGCTTCTGTCTAGGTTTGATGTGAAGATATAGACGTTTCAAACGAAGGCTACAAAGTGGTCAAAATATACACTTGCAGATTCTACTACAAGGGTGTTGCAAACCTGAACTATCAAAGGAAGGTTCAACTCTGTGAGTTGAATACAAACATCACAAAGAATGTTCTGAGTTTGCTTCCGTTCAGTTATGGGAAGTTGATCCCGTTTCCAACGAAATCCTCAGAGAGGTCCAAATATCCCCTTGCAGATTCTACAAAACGTGTGTTTGGAAACTGCTCCATCATAACGAATGTTCAGCTCCCTGAGTTAAACTCCATCGTCACAAAGAATTTTCTGAGAGTGCTACCGTCTGGTTTTTATATGAAGTTCTTTCCTTCACTACCACAGGCCTCAAAGCGGTCCAAATCTCCACTTGCAGATTCTACAAAAGGAGTGTTTGCAAACTGCTCTATCAAAAGGAATGTTCAACTCTGGGAGTTGAATGCAATCATCACAGAGCAGTTTCTGAGAATGCTTCTATGTCGTTTTTAGGAGAAGATATTTCCTTTTCCAACACAGTCCTCCAAGCCCGCTAAATAGCCACTTGCACATTGTAGAAAAAGTGTGTCAAAGCTGCGCTATCAAAGGGAAAGTTCAACTCTGTGAGGTGAATGCAAACATCCCAAAGAAGTTTCTGAGAATGCTTCCGTTTAGCTTTTAGGTGAAGATTATCCCGTTTCCAACGAAACCTTCAAAGAGGTCCAAATATCCCCTTGCGGATCCCACAGAAAGAGTGTTTCGAAACTGCTGTTTCAAAAGGAATCTTCAACTCTGTGAGTTGAATGCAATCATCACAAAGAAGTTTCTGACAATGCTTCTCTCTCGTCTTTCTGTGAAGATAAAGGAAAAGGCTTTCAGGCCTTTGCCACCACAGGCCTGAAAGCGCTCCAAATGTCCACTTGCAGATTCTGCCAAAAGAATATTTCAAAACTGCTCTATGAAAAGCAATGTTAAACTCTGCGGCTCGAACACAAACATCACAAAGCGGTTTCTGAGAATGCTTCAGTTTAGTTTTTCTGTGGAAATATTCCCGTTTCCAAAGAAATCTTCAAAGAGGTCCACGTATCCACTTACAGATTCTACAAAAAGACAGTTTCAAAACTGCTCCATCAAAAGGAGGGTTCAACTGTGTGACTTGAATGCAATCATCACTCAGAAGTTTCTGAGAATGCTTCTCTTTAGTTTTTATGTGAACATATACCCGTTTCGAACGAAGGCCACCCAGTGGTCCAAATATCCACTTGCAGATTCTACAGAAAGAGTGTTTCGAACCTGAACTCTCAAAGGCAGGTTCATCTCTGCGAGTTAAATGCATTCATCATGAAGAACTTTCTCAGAGTGTTTGTGTTTAGTTATGGGAAATTATTCCCGTTTCCAACGAAATCCTCAGAGAGCTCCAAATATCCACCTGCAGATTCTACCAAAAGTGTATTTGGAAACTGCTCCATCAAAAGGCATGTTCAGCTCTGTGAGTGAAACTCCATCATCACAAAGAATATTCTGAGAATGCTTCCGTTTGCCTTTTATATGAAGTTCCTTCCTGTACTACCGTAGGCCTCAAAGCAGTCCAAATCTCCATTTGCAGATTCTATAAAAAGAGTGATTCCAATCTGCTCTATCAATAGGATTGTTCAACTCCATGAGTTGAATGCCATCCTCACAAAGTAGTTTCTGAGAATGCTTCTATCTGGTTTTTGTGTGAAGATATTTCCTTTTCCACCACAGGCCTCAAAGCCCTCCAAACGTCCACTTGCAGATTCTCGAAAAAGAGTGTTTCATAGCTGCTCTTTCAAAAGGAAAGTTCAACTCTGGGAGTTGAATACAAACATCACAAAATAGTTTCCGAGAATGCTTCTGTTTAGTTTTTATGTGAAGATGATCCCGTTTCCAGTGAAATCTTCAAAGAGGTCCACATATCCCCTTGCAGATTCCAAAGAAAGAGGGTTTCAAAACTGCTCCATCAAAAGGATTGTTCAACTCTGGTGAGTTGAATGCAGTCATCGCAGAAAACTTTCTGAGAATGCTTCTGTCTAGGTTTGATGTGAAGATATAGACGTTTCAAACGAAGGCTACAAAGTGGTCAAAATATACACTTGCAGATTCTACTACAAGGGTGTTGCAAACCTGAACTATGAAAGGAAGGTTCAACTCTGTGAGTTGAATACAAACATCACAAAGAATGTTCTGAGTTTGCTTCCGTTCAGTTATGGGAAGTTGATCCCGTTTCCAACGAAATCCTCAGAGAGGTCCAAATATCCCCTTGCAGATTCTACAAAACGTGTGTTTGGAAACTGCTCCATCATAACGAATGTTCAGCTCCCTGAGTTAAACTCCATCGTCACAAAGAATTTTCTGAGAGTGCTACCGTCTGGTTTTTATATGAAGTTCTTTCCTTCACTACCACAGGCCTCAAAGCGGTCCAAATCTCCACTTGCAGATTCTACAAAAAGAGTGTTTGCAAACTGCTCTATCAAAAGGAATGTTCAACTCTGGGAGTTGAATGCAATCATCACAGAGCAGTTTCTGAGAATGCTTCTATGTCGTTTTTAGGAGAAGATATTTCCTTTTCCAACACAGTCCTCCAAGCCCGCTAAATAGCCACTTGCACATTGTAGAAAAAGTGTGTCAAAGCTGCGCTATCAAAGGGAAAGTTCAACTCTGTGAGGTGAATGCAAACATCCCAAAGAAGTTTCTGAGAATGCTTCCGTTTAGCTTTTAGGTGAAGATTATCCCGTTTCCAACGAAACCTTCAAAGAGGTCCAAATATCCCCTTGCGGATCCCACAGAAAGAGTGTTTCGAAACTGCTGTTTCAAAAGGAATCTTCAACTCTGTGAGTTGAATGCAATCATCACAAAGAAGTTTCTGACAATGCTTCTCTCTCGTCTTTCTGTGAAGATAAAGGAAAAGGCTTTCAGGCCTTTTCCACCACAGGCCTGAAAGCGCTCCAAATGTCCACTTGCAGATTCTGCCAAAAGAATATTTAAAAACTGCTCTATGAAAAGCAATGTTAAACTCTGTGGCTCGAACACAAACATCACAAAGCGGTTTCTGAGAATGCTTCAGTTTAGTTTTTCTGTGGAAATATTCCCGTTTCCAAAGAAATCTTCAAAGAGGTCCACGTATCCACTTACAGATTCTACAAAAAGACAGTTTCAAAACTGCTCCATCAAAAGGAGGGTTCAACTGTGTGACTTGAATGCAATCATCACTCAGAAGTTTCTGAGAATGCTTCTCTTTAGTTTTTACGTGAACATATACCCGTTTCGAACGAAGGCCAGCCAGTGGTCCAAATATCCACTTGCAGATTCTACAGAAAGAGTGTTTCGAACATGAACTCTCAAAGGCAGGTTCATCTCTGCGAGTTAAATGCATTCATCATGAAGAACTTTCTCAGAGTGTTTGTGTTTAGTTATGGGAAATTATTCCCGTTTCCAACGAAATCCTCAGAGAGGTCCAAATATCCACCTGCAGATTCTACCAAAAGTGTATTTGGAAACTGCTCCATCAAAAGGCATGTTCAGCTCTGTGAGTGAAACTCCATCATCACAAAGAATATTCTGAGAATGCTTCCGTTTGCCTTTTATATGAAGTTCCTTCCTATACGACCGTAGGCCTCAAAGCAGTCCAAATCTCCATTTGCAGATTCTACAAAAAGAGTGATTCCAATCTGCTCTATCAATAGGATTGTTCAACTCCATGAGTTGAATGCCATCCTCACAAAGTCGTTTCTGAGAATGCTTCTATCTAGTTTTTATGTGAAGATATTTCCTTTTCCACCACAGGCCTCAAAGCCCTCCAAACGTCCACTTGCAGATTCTCGAAAAAGAGTGTTTCATAGCTGCTCTTTCAGAAGGAAAGTTCAACTCTGGGAGTTGAATACAAACATCACAAAGTAGTTTCTGAGAATGCTTCTGTTTAGTTTTTATGTGAAGATGATCCCGTTTCCAGTGAAATCTTCAAAGAGGTCCACATATCCCCTTGCAGATTCCAAAGAAAGAGGGTTTCAAAACTGCTCCATCAGAAGGATTGTTCAACTCTGTGAGTTGAATGCAGTCATCGCAGAAAACTTTCTGAGAATGCTTCTGTCTAGGTTTGATGTGAAGATATAGACGTTTCAAACGAAGGCTACAAAGTGGTCAAAATATACACTTGCAGATTCTACTACAAGGGTGTTGCAAACCTGAACTATCAAAGGAAGGTTCAACTCTGTGAATTGAATACAAACATCACAAAGAATGTTCTGAGTTTGCTTCCGTTCAGTTATGGGAAGTTGATCCCGTTTCCAACGAAATCCTCAGAGAGGTCCAAATATCCCCTCGCAGATTCTACAAAACGTGTGTTTGGAAACTGCTCCATCATAACGAATGTTCAGCTCACTGAGTTAAACTCCATCGTCACAAAGAATTTTCTGAGAGTGCTACCGTCTGGTTTTTATATGAAGTTCTTTCCTTCACTACCACAGGCCTCAAAGCGGTCCAAATCTCCACTTGCAGATTCTACAAAAAGAGTGTTTGCAAACTGCTCTATCAAAAGGAATGTTCAACTCTGGGAGTTGAATGCAATCATCACAGAGCAGTTTCTGAGAATGCTTCTATGTCGTTTTTAGAAGATATTTCCTTTTCCAACACAGTCCTCCAAGCCCGCTAAATAGCCACTTGCACATTGTAGAAAAAGTGTGTCAAAGCTGCGCTATCAAAGGGAAAGTTCAACTCTGTGAGGTGAATGCAAACATCCCAAAGAAGTTTGCTGAGAATGCTTCCGTTTAGCTTTTAGGTGAAGATTATCCCGTTTCCAACGAAATCTTCAAAGAGGTCCAAATATCCCCTTGCGGATCCCACAGAAAGAGTGTTTCGAAACTGCTGTTTCAAAAAGAATCTTCAACTCTGTGAGTTGAATGCAATCATCACAAAGAAGTTTCTGACAATGCTTCTCTCTCGTCTTTCTGTGAAGATAAAGGAAAAGGCTTTCAGGCCTTTTCCACCACAGGCCTGAAAGCACTCCAAATGTCCACTTGCAGATTGTGCCAAAAGAATATTTCAAAACTGCTCTATGAAAAGCAATGTTAAACTCTGTGGCTCGAACACAAACATCACAAAGCAGTTTCTGAGAATGCTTCAGTTTAGTTTTTCTGTGGAAATATTCCCGTTTCCAAAGAAATCTTCAAAGAGGTCCACGTATCCACTTACAGATTCTACAAAAAGACAGTTTCAAAACTGCTCCATCAAAAGGAAGGTTCAACTGTGTGACTTGAATGCAATCATCACTCAGAAGTTTCTGAGAATGCTTCTCTTTAGTTTTTACGTGAACATATACCCGTTTTGAACGAAGGCCACCCAGTGGTCCAAATATCCACTTGCAGATTCTACAGAAAGAGTGTTTCGAACCTGAACTCTCAAAGGCAGGTTCATCTCTGCGAGTTAAATGCATTCATCATGAAGAACTTTCTCAGAGTGTTTGTGTTTAGTTATGGGAAATTATTCCCGTTTCCAACGAAATCCTCAGAGAGCTCCAAATATCCACCTGCAGATTCTACCAAAAGTGTATTTGGAAACTGCTCCATCAAAAGGCATGTTCAGCTCTGTGAGTGAAACTCCATCATCACAAAGAATATTCTGAGAATGCTTCCGTTTGCCTTTTATATGAAGTTCCTTCCTGTACTACCGTAGGCCTCAAAGCAGTCCAAATCTCCATTTGCAGATTCTACAAAAAGAGTGATTCCAATCTGCTCTATCAATAGGATTGTTCAACTCCATGAGTTGAATGCCATCCTCACAAAGTAGTTTCTGAGAATGCTTCTATCTGGTTTTTGTGTGAAGATATTTCCTTTTCCACCACAGGCCTCAAAGCCCTCCAAACGTCCACTTGCAGATTCTCGAAAAAGAGTGTTTCATAGCTGCTCTTTCAAAAGGAAAGTTCAACTCTGGGAGTTGAATACAAACATCACAAAATAGTTTCCGAGAATGCTTCTGTTTAGTTTTTATGTGAAGATGATCCCGTTTCCAGTGAAATCTTCAAAGAGGTCCACATATCCCCTTGCAGATTCCAAAGAAAGAGGGTTTCAAAACTGCTCCATCAGAAGGATTGTTCAACTCTGTGAGTTGAATGCAGTCATCGCAGAAAACTTTCTGAGAATGCTTCTGTCTAGGTTTGATGTGAAGATATAGACGTTTCAAATGAAGGCTACAAAGTGGTCAAAATATACACTTGCAGATTCTACTACAAGGGTGTTGCAAACCTGAACTATCAAAGGAAGGTTCAACTCTGTGAGTTGAATACAAACATCACAAAGAATGTTCTGAGTTTGCTTCCGTTCAGTTATGGGAAGTTGATCCCGTTTCCAACGAAATCCTCAGAGAGGTCCAAATATCCCCTCGCAGATTCTACAAAACGTGTGTTTGGAAACTGCTCCATCATAACGAATGTTCAGCTCCCTGAGTTAAACTCCATCGTCACAAAGAATTTTCTGAGAGTGCTACCGTCTGGTTTTTATATGAAGTTCTTTCCTTCACTACCACAGGCCTCAAAGCGGTCCAAATCTCCACTTGCAGATTCTACAAAAAGAGTGTTTGCAAACTGCTCTATCAAAAGGAATGTTCAACTCTGGGAGTTGAATGCAATCATCACAGAGCAGTTTCTGAGAATGCTTCTATGTCGTTTTTAGGAGAAGATATTTCCTTTTCCAACACAGTCCTCCAAGCCCGCTAAATAGCCACTTGCACATTGTAGAAAAAGTGTGTCAAAGCTGCGCTATCAAAGGGAAAGTTCAACTCTGTGAGGTGAATGCAAACATCCCAAAGAAGTTTCTGAGAATGCTTCCGTTTAGCTTTTAGGTGAAGATTATCCCGTTTCCAACGAAACCTTCAAAGAGGTGCAAATATCCCCTTGCGGATCCCACAGAAAGAGTGTTTCGAAACTGCTGTTTCAAAAGGAATCTTCAACTCTGTGAGTTGAATGCAATCATCACAAAGAAGTTTCTGACAATGCTTCTCTCTCGTCTTTCTGTGAAGATAAAGAAAAGGCTTTCAGGCCTTTTCCACCACAGGCCTGAAAGCGCTCCAAATGTCCACTTGCAGATTCTGCGAAAAGAATATTTCAAAACTGCTCTATGAAAAGCAATGTTAAACTCTGTGGCTCGAACACAAACATCACAAAGCAGTTTCTGAGAATGCTTCAGTTTAGTTTTTCTGTGGAAATATTCCCGTTTCCAAAGAAATCTTCAAAGAGGTCCACGTATCCACTTACAGATTCTACAAAAAGACAGTTTCAAAACTGCTCCATCAAAAGGAGGGTTCAACTGTGTGACTTGAATGCAATCATCACTCAGAAGTTTCTGAGAATGCTTCTCTTTAGTTTTTACGTGAACATATACCCGTTTCGAACGAAGGCCACCCAGTGGTCCAAATATCCACTTGCAGATTCTACAGAAAGAGTGTTTCGAACCTGAACTCTCAAAGGCAGGTTCATCTCTGCGAGTTAAATGCATTCATCATGAAGAACTTTCTCAGAGTGTTTGTGTTTAGTTATGGGAAATTATTCCCGTTTCCAACGAAATCCTCAGAGAGCTCCAAATATCCACCTGCAGATTCTACCAAAAGTGTATTTGGAAACTGCTCCATCAAAAGGCATGTTCAGCTCTGTGCGTGAAACTCCATCGTCACAAAGAATATTCTGAGAATGCTTCCGTTTGCCTTTTATATGAAGTTCCTTCCTATACGACCGTAGGCCTCAAAGCAGTCCAAATCTCCATTTGCAGATTCTACAAAAAGAGTGATTCCAATCTGCTCTATCAATAGGATTGTTCAACTCCATGAGTTGAATGCCATCCTCACAAAGTCGTTTCTGAGAATGCTTCTATCTAGTTTTTATGTGAAGATATTTCCTTTTCCACCACAGGCCTCAAAGCCTTCCAAACGTCCACTTGCAGATTCTCGAAAAAGAGTGTTTCATAGCTGCTCTTTCAAAAGGAAAGTTCAACTCTGGGAGTTGAATACAAACATCACAAAGTAGTTTCCGAGAATGCTTCTGTTTAGTTTTTATGTGAAGATGATCGATCCCGTTTCCAGTGAAATCTTCAAAGAGGTCCACATATCCCCTTGCAGATTCCAAAGAAAGAGGGTTTCAAAACTGCTCCATCAGAAGGATTGTTCAACTCTGTGAGTTGAATGCAGTCATCGCAGAAAACTTTCTGAGAATGCTTCTGTCTAGGTTTGATGTGAAGATATAGACGTTTCAAACGAAGGCTACAAAGTGGTCAAAATATACACTTGCAGATTCTACTACAAGGGTGTTGCAAACCTGAACTATCAAAGGAAGGTTCAACTCTGTGAGTTGAATACAAACATCACAAAGAATGTTCTGAGTTTGCTTCCGTTCAGTTATGGGAAGTTGATCCCGTTTCCAACGAAATCCTCAGAGAGGTCCAAATATCCCCTCGCAGATTCTACAAAACGTGTGTTTGGAAACTGCTCCATCATAACGAATGTTCAGCTCCCTGAGTTAAACTCCATCGTCACAAAGAATTTTCTGAGAGTGCTACCGTCTGGTTTTTATATGAAGTTCTTTCCTTCACTACCACAGGCCTCAAAGCGGTCCAAATCTCCACTTGCAGATTCTACAAAAAGAGTGTTTGCAAACTGCTCTATCAAAAGGAATGTTCAACTCTGGGAGTTGAATGCAATCATCACAGAGCAGTTTCTGAGAATGCTTCTATGTCGTTTTTAGGAGAAGATATTTCCTTTTCCAACACAGTCCTCCAAGCCCGCTAAATAGCCACTTGCACATTGTAGAAAAAGTGTGTCAAAGCTGCGCTATCAAAGGGAAAGTTCAACTCTGTGAGGTGAATGCAAACATCCCAAAGAAGTTTCTGAGAATGCTTCCGTTTAGCTTTTAGGTGAAGATTATCCCGTTTCCAACGAAACCTTCAAAGAGGTCCAAATATCCCCTTGTGGATCCCACAGAAAGAGTGTTTCGAAACTGCTGTTTCAAAAGGAATCTTCAACTCTGTGAGTTGAATGCAATCATCACAAAGAAGTTTCTGACAATGCTTCTCTCTCGTCTTTCTGTGAAGATAAAGGAAAAGGCTTTCAGGCCTTTTCCACCACAGGCCTGAAAGCGCTCCAAATGTCCACTTGCAGATTCTGCCAAAAGAATATTTCAAAACTGCTCTATGAAAAGCAATGTTAAACTCTGTGGCTCGAACACAAACATCACAAAGCAGTTTCTGAGAATGCTTCAGTTTAGATTTTCTGTGGAAATACTCCCGTTTCCAAAGAAATCTTCAAAGAGGTCCACGTATCCACTTACAGATTCTACAAAAAGACAGTTTCAAAACTGCTCCATCAAAAGGAGGGTTCAACTGTGTGACTTGAATGCAATCATCACTCAGAAGTTTCTGAGAATGCTTCTCTTTAGTTTTTACGTGAACATATACCCGTTTCGAACGAAGGCCACCCAGTGGTCCAAATATCCACTTGCAGATTCTACAGAAAGAGTGTTTCGAACCTGAACTCTCAAAGGCAGGTTCATCTCTGCGAGTTAAATGCATTCATCATGAAGAACTTTCTCAGAGTGTTTGTGTTTAGTTATGGGAAATTATTCCCGTTTCCAACGAAATCCTCAGAGAGCTCCAAATATCCACCTGCAGATTCTACCAAAAGTGTATTTGGAAACTGCTCCATCAAAAGGCATGTTCAGCTCTGTGAGTGAAACTCCATCATCACAAAGAATATTCTGAGAATGCTTCCGTTTGCCTTTTATATGAAGTTCCTTCCTATACTACCGTAGGCCTCAAAGCAGTCCAAATCTCCATTTGCAGATTCTACAAAAAGAGTGATTCCAATCTGCTCTATCAATAGGATTGTTCAACTCCATGAGTTGAATGCCATCCTCACAATGTCGTTTCTGAGAATGCTTCTATCTAGTTTTTATGTGAAGATATTTCCTTTTCCACCACAGGCCTCAAAGCCCTCCAAACGTCCACTTTCAGATTCTCGAAAAAGAGTGTTTCATAGCTGCTCTTTCAAAAGGAAAGTTCAACTCTGGGAGTTGAATACAAACATCACAAAGTAGTTTCTGAGAATGCTTCTGTTTAGTTTTTATGTGAAGATGATCCCGTTTCCAGTGAAATCTTCAAAGAGGTCCACATATCCCCTTGCAGATTCCAAAGAAAGAGGGTTTCAAAACTGCTCCATCAGAAGGATTGTTCAACTCTGTGAGTTGAATGCAGTCATCGCAGAAAACTTTCTGAGAATGCTTCTGTCTAGGTTTGATGTGAAGATATAGACGTTTCAAATGAAGGCTACAAAGTGGTCAAAATATACACTTGCAGATTCTACTACAAGGGTGTTGCAAACCTGAACTATCAAAGGAAGGTTCAACTCTGTGAGTTGAATACAAACATCACAAAGAATGTTCTGAGTTTGCTTCCGTTCAGTTATGGGAAGTTGATCCCGTTTCCAACGAAATCCTCAGAGAGGTCCAAATATCCCCTCGCAGATTCTACAAAACGTGTGTTTGGAAACTGCTCCATCATAACGAATGTTCAGCTCCCTGAGTTAAACTCCATCGTCACAAAGAATTTTCTGAGAGTGCTACCGTCTGGTTTTTATATGAAGTTCTTTCCTTCACTACCACAGGCCTCAAAGCGGTCCAAATCTCCACTTGCAGATTCTACAAAAAGAGTGTTTGCAAACTGCTCTATCAAAAGGAATGTTCAACACTGGGAGTTGAATGCAATCATCACAGAGCAGTTTCTGAGAATGCTTCTATGTCGTTTTTAGGAGAAGATATTTCCTTTTCCAACACAGTCCTCCAAGCCCGCTAAATAGCCACTTGCACATTGTAGAAAAAGTGTGTCAAAGCTGCGCTATCAAAGGGAAAGTTCAACTCTGTGAGGTGAATGCAAACATCCCAAAGAAGTTTCTGAGAATGCTTCCGTTTAGCTTTTAGGTGAAGATTATCCCGTTTCCAACGAAACCTTCAAAGAGGTCCAAATATCCCCTTGCGGATCCCACAGAAAGAGTGTTTCGAAACTGCTGTTTCAAAAGGAATCTTCAACTCTGTGAGTTGAATGCAATCATCACAAAGAAGTTTCTGACAATGCTTCTCTCTCGTCTTTCTGTGAAGATAAAGGAAAAGGCTTTCAGGCCTTTTCCACCACAGGCCTGAAAGCGCTCCAAATGTCCACTTGCAGATTCTGCGAAAAGAATATTTCAAAACTGCTCTATGAAAAGCAATGTTAAACTCTGTGGCTCGAACACAAACATCACAAAGCGGTTTCTGAGAATGCTTCAGTTTAGTTTTTCTGTGGAAATATTCCCGTTTCCAAAGAAATCTTCAAAGAGGTCCACGTATCCACTTACAGATTCTACAAAAAGACAGTTTCAAAACTGCTCCATCAAAAGGAGGGTTCAACTGTGTGACTTGAATGCAATCATCACTCACCAGTTTCTGAGAATGCTTCTCTTTAGTTTTTACGTGAACATATACCCGTTTCGAACGAAGGCCAGCCAGTGGTCGAAATATCCACTTGCAGATTCTACAGAAAGAGTGTTTCGAACATGAACTCTCAAAGGCAGGTTCATCTCTGCGAGTTAAATGCATTCATCATGAAGAACTTTCTCAGAGTGTTTGTATTTAGTTATGGGAAATTATTCCCGTTTCCAACGAAATCCTCAGAGAGGTCCAAATATCCACCTGCAGATTCTACCAAAAGTGTATTTGGAAACTGCTCCATCAAAAGGCATGTTCAGCTCTGTGAGTGAAACTCCATCATCACAAAGAATATTCTGAGAATGCTTCCGTTTGCCTTTTATATGAAGTTCCTTCCTATACGACCGTAGGCCTCAAAGCAGTCCAAATCTCCATTTGCAGATTCTACAAAAAGAGTGATTCCAATCTGCTCTATCAATAGGATTGTTCAACTCCATGAGTTGAATGCCATCCTCACAAAGTCGTTTCTGAGAATGCTTCTATCTAGTTTTTATGTGAAGATATTTCCTTTTCCACCACAGGCCTCAAAGCCCTCCAAACGTCCACTTGCAGATTCTCGAAAAAGAGTGTTTCATAGCTGCTCTTTCAAAAGGAAAGTTCAACTCTGGGAGTTGAATACAAACATCACAAAGTAGTTTCCGAGAATGCTTCTGTTTAGTTTTTATGTGAAGATGATCCCGTTTCCAGTGAAATCTTCAAAGAGGTCCACATATCCCCTTGCAGATTCCAAAGAAAGAGGGTTTCAAAACTGCTCCATCAGAAGGATTGTTCAACTCTGTGAGTTGAATGCAGTCATCGCAGAAAACTTTCTGAGAATGCTTCTGTCTAGGTTTGATGTGAAGATATAGACGTTTCAAACGAAGGCTACAAAGTGGTCAAAATATACACTTGCAGATTCTACTACAAGGGTGTTGCAAACCTGAACTATCAAAGGAAGGTTCAACTCTGTGAGTTGAATACAAACATCACAAAGAATGTTCTGAGTTTGCTTCCGTTCAGTTATGGGAAGTTGATCCCGTTTCCAACGAAATCCTCAGAGAGGTCCAAATATCCCCTCGCAGATTCTACAAAACGTGTGTTTGGAAACTGCTCCATCATAACGAATGTTCAGCTCCCTGAGTTAAACTCCATCGTCACAAAGAATTTTCTGAGAGTGCTACCGTCTGGTTTTTATATGAAGTTCTTTCCTTCACTACCACAGGCCTCAAAGCGGTCCAAATCTCCACTTGCAGATTCTACAAAAAGAGTGTTTGCAAACTGCTCTATCAAAAGGAATGTTCAACTCTGGGAGTTGAATGCAATCATCACAGAGCAGTTTCTGAGAATGCTTCTATGTCGTTTTTAGGAGAAGATATTTCCTTTTCCAACACAGTCCTCCAAGCCCGCTAAATAGCCACTTGCACATTGTAGAAAAAGTGTGTCAAAGCTGCGCTATCAAAGGGAAAGTTCAACTCTGTGAGGTGAATGCAAACATCCCAAAGAAGTTTCTGAGAATGCTTCCGTTTAGCTTTTAGGTGAAGATTATCCCGTTTCCAACGAAACCTTCAAAGAGGTCCAAATATCCCCTTGCGGATCCCACAGAAAGAGTGTTTCGAAACTGCTGTTTCAAAAGGAATCTTCAACTCTGTGAGTTGAATGCAATCATCACAAAGAAGTTTCTGACAATGCTTCTCTCTCGTCTTTCTGTGAAGATAAAGGAAAAGGCTTTCAGGCCTTTTCCCAACCACAGGCCTGAAAGCGCTCCAAATGTCCACTTGCAGATTCTGCCAAAAGAATATTTCAAAACTGCTCTATGAAAAGCAATGTTAAACTCTGTGGCTCGAACACAAACATCACAAAGCAGTTTCTGAGAATGCTTCAGTTTAGTTTTTCTGTGGAAATATTCCCGTTTCCAAAGAAATCTTCAAAGAGGTCCACGTATCCACTTACAGATTCTACAAAAAGACAGTTTCAAAACTGCTCCATCAAAAGGAGGGTTCAACTGTGTGACTTGAATGCAATCATCACTCAGAAGTTTCTGAGAATGCTTCTCTTTAGTTTTTACGTGAACATATACGCGTTTCGAACGAAGGCCACCCAGTGGTCCAAATATCCACTTGCAGATTCTACAGAAAGAGTGTTTCGAACCTGAACTCTCAAAGGCAGGTTCATCTCTGCGAGTTAAATGCATTCATCATGAAGAACTTTCTCAGAGTGTTTGTGTTTAGTTATGGGAAATTATTCCCGTTTCCAACGAAATCCTCAGGGAGCTCCAAATATCCACCTGCAGATTCTACCAAAAGTGTATTTGGAAACTGCTCCATCAAAAGGCATGTTCAGCTCTGTGAGTGAAACTCCATCATCACAAAGAATATTCTGAGAATGCTTCCCGTTTGCCTTTTATATGAAGTTCCTTCCTGTACTACCGTAGGCCTCAAAGCAGTCCAAATCTCCATTTGCAGATTCTATAAAAAGAGTGATTCCAATCTGCTCTATCAATAGGATTGTTCAACTCCATGAGTTGAATGCCATCCTCACAAAGTAGTTTCTGAGAATGCTTCTATCTGGTTTTTGTGTGAAGATGTTTCCTTTTCCACCACAGGCCTCAAAGCCCTCCAAACGTCCACTTGCAGATTCTCGAAAAAGAGTGTTTCATAGCTGCTCTTTCAAAAGGAAAGTTCAACTCTTTGAGTTGAATACAAACATCACAAAGTAGTTTCCGAGAATGCTTCTGTTTAGTTTTTATGTGAAGATGATCCCGTTTCCAGTGAAATCTTCAAAGAGGTCCACATATCCCCTTGCAGATTCCAAAGAAAGAGGGTTTCAAAACTGCTCCATCAGAAGGATTGTTCAACTCTGTGAGTTGAATGCAGTCATCGCAGAAAACTTTCTGAGAATGCTTCTGTCTAGGTTTGATGTGAAGATATAGACGTTTCAAACGAAGGCTACAAAGTGGTCAAAATATACACTTGCAGATTCTACTACAAGGGTGTTGCAAACCTGAACTATCAAAGGAAGGTTGAACTCTGTGAGTTGAATACAAACATCACAAAGAATGTTCTGAGTTTGCTTCCGTTCAGTTATGGGAAGTTGATCCCGTTTCCAAAGAAATCCTCAGAGAGGTCCAAATATCCCCTCGCAGATTCTACAAAACGTGTGTTTGGAAACTGCTCCATCATAACGAATGTTCAGCTCCCTGAGTTAAACTCCATCGTCACAAAGAATTTTCTGAGAGTGCTACCGTCTGGTTTTTATATGAAGTTCTTTCCTTCACTACCACAGGCCTCAAAGCGGTCCAAATCTCCACTTGCAGATTCTACAAAAAGAGTGTTTGCAAACTGCTCTATCAAAAGGAATGTTCAACTCTGGGAGTTGAATGCAATCATCACAGAGCAGTTTCTGAGAATGCTTCTTTGTCGTTTTTAGGAGAAGATATTTCCTTTTCCAACACAGTCCTCCAAGCCCGCTAAATAGCCACTTGCACATTGTAGAAAAAGTGTGTCAAAGCTGCGCTATCAAAGGGAAAGTTCAACTCTGTGAGGTGAATGCAAACATCCCAAAGAAGTTTCTGAGAATGCTTCCGTTTAGCTTTTAGGTGAAGATTATCCAGTTTCCAACGAAACCTTCAAATAGATCCAAATATCCCCTTGCGGTTCCCACAGAAAGAGTGTTTCGAAACTGCTGTTTCAAAAGGAATCTTCAACTCTGTGAGTTGAATGCAATCATCACAAAGAAGTTTCTGACAATGCTTCTCTCTCGTCTTTCTGTGAAGATAAAGGAAAAGGCTTTCAGGCCTTTTCCACCACAGGCCTGAAAGCGCTCCAAATGTCCACTTGCAGATTCTGCCAAAAGAATATTTCAAAACTGCTCTATGAAAAGCAATGTTAAACTCTGCGGCTCGAACACAAACATCACAAAGCAGTTTCTGAGAATGCTTCAGTTTAGTTTTTCTGTGGAAATATTCCCGTTTCCAAAGAAATCTTCAAAGAGGTCCACGCATCCACTTACAGATTCTACAAAAACACAGTTTCAAAACTGCTCAATCAAAACGAGGGTTCAACTGTGTGACTTGAATGCAATCATCACTCAGAAGTTTCTGAGAATGCTGTTTGTGTTTAGTTATGGGAAATTATTCCCGTTTCCAACGAAATCCTCAGAGAGGTTCAAATATCCACCTGCAGATTCTACCAAAAGTGTATTTGGAAACTGCTCCATCAAAAGGCATGTTCAGCTCTGTGTGTGAAACTCCATCATCACAAAGAATATTCTGAGAATGCTCCGTTTGCCTTTTATATGAAGTTCCTTCCTATACTACCGTAGGCCTCAAAGCAGTCCAAATCTCCATTTGCAGATTCTACAAAAAGAGTGATTCCAATCTGCTCTATCAATAGGACTGTTCAACTCCATGAGTTGAATGCCATCCTCACAAAGTCGTTTCTGAGAATGCTTCTATCTAGTTTTTATGTGAAGATATTTCCTTTTCCACCACAGGCCTCAAAGCCCTCCAAACGTCCACTTGCAGATTCTCGAAAAAGAGTGTTTCATAGCTGCTCTTTCAAAAGGAAAGTTCAACTCTGGGAGTTGAATACAAACATCACAAAGTAGTTTCCGAGAATGCTTCTGTTTAGTTCTTATGTGAAGATGATCCCGTTTCCAGTGAAATCTTCAAAGAGGTCCACATATCCCCTTGCAGATTCCAAAGAAAGAGGGTTTCAAAACTGCTCCATCAAAAGGATTGTTCAACTCTGTGAGTTGAATGCAGTCATCGCAGAAAACTTTCTGAGAATGCTTCTGTCTAGGTTTGATGTGAAGATATAGACGTTTCAAACGAAGGCTACAAAGTGGTCAAAATATACACTTGCAGATTCTACTACAAGGGTGATGCAAACCTCAACTATCAAAGGAAGGTTCAACTCTGTGAGATGAATGCAACCATCACAAAAAATGTTCTGAGTTTGCTTCCGTTCAGTTATGGGAAATTGATACCGTTTCCAACGAAATCCTCAGAGAGGTCCAAATATCCCCTTGCAGATTCTACAAAACGTGTGTTTGGAAACTGCTCCATCATAACGAATGTTCAGCTCTCTGAGTTAAACTCCATCGTCACAAAGAATTTTCTGAGAGTGCTACCGTCTAGTTTTTATATGAAGTTCTTTCCTTTACTACCACAGGCCTCAAAGCGGTCCAAATCTCCACTTGCAGATTCTACAAAAAGAGTGTTTGCAAACTGCTCTATCAAAAGGAATGTTCAACTCTGGGAGTTGAAAGCAATCATCACAGAGCAGTTTCTGAGAATGCTTCTATGTCGTTTTTAGGAGAAGATATTTCCTTTTCCAACACAGTCCTCCAAGCCCGCTAAATATCCACTTGCACATTGTAGAAAAAGTGTGTCGAAGCTGCGCTATCAAAGGGAAAGTTCAACTCTGTGAGGTGAATGCAAACATCCCAAAGAAGTTTCTGAGAATACTTCCGTTTAGCTTTTAGGTGAAGATTATCCCGTTTCCAACGAAATCTTCAAAGAGGTCCAAATATCCCCCTGCGGATCCCACAGAAAGAGTGTTTCGAAACTGCTGTTTCAAAAGGAATCTTCAACTCTGTGAGTTGAATGCAATCATCACAAAGAAGTTTCTGACAATGCTTCTCTCTCGTCTTTCTGTGAAGGTAAAGGAAAAGGCTTTCAGGCCTTTTCCACCACAGGCCTGAACGTGCTCCAAATGTCCACTTGCAGATTCTGCCAAAAGAATATTTCAAAACTGCTCTATGAAAAGCAATGTTAAACTCTGTGGCTCGAACACAAACATCACAAAGCCGTTTCTGAGAATGCTTCAGTTTAGTTTTTCTGTGGAAATATTCCCGTTTCCAAAGAAATCTTCAAAGAGGTCCACGCATCCACTTACAGATTCTACAAAAAGACAGTTTCAAAACTGCTCAATCAAAAGGAGGGTTCAACTGTGTGACTTGAATGCAATCATCACTCAGAAGTTTCTGAGAATGCTTCTCTTTAGTTTTTACGTGAACATATACCCGTTTCGAACGAAGGCCAGCCAGTGGTCCAAATATCCACTTGCAGATTCTACAGAAAGAGTGTTTCGAACCTGAACTCTCAAAGGCAGGTTCATCTCTGCGAGTTCAATGCATTCATCATGAAGAACTTTCTCAGCGTGTTTGTGTTTAGTTATGGGAAATTATTCCCGTTTCCAACGAAATCCTCAGAGAGCTCCAAATATCCACCTGCAGATTCTACCAAAAGTGTATTTGGAAACTGCTCCATCAAAAGGCATGTTCAGCTCTGTGAGTGAAACTCCATCATCACAAAGAATATTCTGAGAATGCTTCCGTTTGCCTTTTATATGAAGTTCCTTCCTATACTACCGTAGGCCTCAAAGCAGTCCAAATCTCCATTTGCAGATTCTACAAAAAGAGTGATTCCAATCTGCTCTATCAACAGGATTGTTCAACTCCATGAGTTGAACGCCATCCTCACAAAGTCGTTTCTGAGAATGCTTCTATCTAGTTTTTATGTGAAGATATTTCCTTTTCCACCACAGGCCTCAAAGCCCTCCAAACGTCCACTTGCAGATTCTCGAAAAAGTGTGTTTCATAGCTGCTCTTTCAAAAGGAAAGTTCAACTCTGGGAGTTGAATACAAACATCACAAAGTAGTTTCCGAGAATGCTTCTGTTTAGTTCTTATGTGAAGATGATCCCGTTTCCAGTGAAATCTTCAAAGAGGTCCACATATCCCCTTGCAGATTCCAAAGAAAGAGGGTTTCAAAACTGCTCCATCAAAAGGATTGTTCAACTCTGTGAGTTGAATGCAGTCATCGCAGAAAACTTTCTGAGAATGCTTCTGTCTAGGTTTGATGTGAAGATATAGCATGTTTCAAACGAAGGCTACAAAGTGGTCAAAATATACACTTGCAGATTCTACTACAAGGGTGTTGCAAACCTGAACTATCAAAGGAAGGTTCAACTCTGTGAGTTGAATACAAACATCACAAAGAATGTTCTGAGTTTGCTTCCGTTCAGTTATGGGAAGTTGATCCCGTTTCCAACGAAATCCTCAGAGAGGTCCAAATATCCCCTCACAGATTCTACAAAACGTGTGTTTGGAAACTGCTCCATCATAACGAATGTTCAGCTCCCTGAGTTAAACTCCATCGTCACAAAGAATTTTCTGAGAGTGCTACCGTCTGGTTTTTATATGAAGTTCTTTCCTTCACTACCACAGGCCTCAAAGCGGTCCAAATCTCCACTTGCAGATTCTACAAAAAGAGTGTTTGCAAACTGCTCTATCAAAAGGAATGTTCAACTCTGGGAGTTGAATGCAATCATCACAGAGCAGTTTCTGAGAATGCTTCTATGTCGTTTTTAGGAGAAGATATTTC
Source organism: Homo sapiens (assembly GCF_000001405.40). NCBI lineage: Eukaryota > Metazoa > Chordata > Mammalia > Primates > Hominidae > Homo > Homo sapiens. The sequence goes on along the minus strand of NC_000023.11, from coordinate 59,819,556 downwards.
CTTTTCCAACACAGTCCTCCAAGCCCGCTAAATAGCCACTTGCACATTGTAGAAAAAGTGTGTCGAAGCTGCGCTATCAAAGGGAAAGTTCAACTCTGTGAGGTGAATGCAAACATCCCAAAGAAGTTTCTGAGAATGCTTCCGTTTAGCTTTTAGGTGAAGATTATCCCGTTTCCAACGAAACCTTCAAAGAGGTCCAAATATCCCCTTGCGGATCCCACAGAAAGAGTGTTTCGAAACTGCTGTTTCAAAAGGAATCTTCAACTCTGTGAGTTGAATGCAATCATCACAAAGAAGTTTCTGACAATGCTTCTCTCTCGTCTTTCTGTGAAGATAAAGGAAAAGGCTTTCAGGCCTTTGCCACCACAGGCCTGAAAGCGCTCCAAATGTCCACTTGCAGATTCTGCCAAAAGAATATTTCAAAACTGCTCTATGAAAAGCAATGTTAAACTCTGTGGCTCGAACACAAACATCACAAAGCGGTTTCTGAGAATGCTTCAGTTTAGTTTTTCTGTGGAAATATTCCCGTTTCCAAAGAAATCTTCAAAGAGGTCCACGTATCCACTTACAGATTCTACAAAAAGACAGTTTCAAAACTGCTCCATCAAAAGGAGGGTTCAACTGTGTGACTTGAATGCAATCATCACTCAGAAGTTTCTGAGAATGCTTCTCTTTAGTTTTTACGTGAACATATACCCGTTTCGAACGAAGGCCAGCCAGTGGTCCAAATATCCACTTGCAGATTCTACAGAAAGAGTGTTTCGAACCTGAACTCTCAAAGGCAGGTTCATCTCTGCGAGTTAAATGCATTCATCATGAAGAACTTTCTCAGAGTGTTTGTGTTTAGTTATGGGAAATTATTCCCGTTTCCAACGAAATCCTCAGAGAGCTCCAAATATCCACCTGCAGATTCTACCAAAAGTGTATTTGGAAACTGCTCCATCAAAAGGCATGTTCAGCTCTGTGAGTGAAACTCCATCATCACAAAGAATATTCTGAGAATGCTTCCGTTTGCCTTTTATATGAAGTTCCTTCCTATACTACCGTAGGCCTCAAAGCAGTCCAAATCTCCATTTGCAGATTCTACAAAAAGAGTGATTCCAATCTGCTCTATCAATAGGATTGTTCAACTCCATGAGTTGAATGCCATCCTCACGAAGTAGTTTCTGAGAATGCTTCTATCTAGTTTTTATGTGAAGATATTTCCTTTTCCACCACAGGCCTCAAAGCCCTCCAAACGTCCACTTGCAGATTCTCGAAAAAGAGTGTTTCATAGCTGCTCTTTCAAAAGGAAAGTTCAACTCTGGGAGTTGAATACAAACATCACAAAGTAGTTTCCGAGAATGCTTCTGTTTAGTTTTTATGTGAAGATGATCCCGTTTCCAGTGAAATCTTCAAAGAGGTCCGCATATCCCCTTTCAGATTCCAACGAAAGAGGGTTTCAAAACTGCTCCATCAGAAGGATTGTTCAACTCTGTGAGTTGAATGCAGTCATCGCAGAAAACTTTCTGAGAATGCTTCTGTCTAGGTTTGATGTGAAGATATAGACGTTTCAAACGAAGGCTACAAAGTGGTCAAAATATACACTTGCAGATTCTACTACAAGGGTGTTGCAAACCTGAACTATCAAAGGAAGGTTCAACTCTGTGAGTTGAATACAAACATCACAAAGAATGTTCTGAGTTTGCTTCCGTTCAGTTATGGGAAGTTGATCCCGTTTCCAACGAAATCCTCAGAGAGGTCCAAATATCCCCTTGCAGATTCTACAAAACGTGTGTTTGGAAACTGCTCCATCATAACGAATGTTCAGCTCCCTGAGTTAAACTCCATCGTCACAAAGAATTTTCTGAGAGTGCTACCGTCTGGTTTTTATATGAAGTTCTTTCCTTCACTACCACAGACCTCAAAGCGGTCCAAATCTCCACTTGCAGATTCTACAAAAAGAGTGATTCCAATCTGCTCTATCAATAGGATTGTTCAACTCCATGAGTTGAATGCCATCCTCACAAAGTAGTTTCTGAGAATGCTTCTATCTGGTTTTTGTGTGAAGATATTTCCTTTTCCACCACAGGCCTCAAAGCCCTCCAAACGTCCACTTGCAGATTCTCGAAAAAGAGTGTTTCATAGCTGCTCTTTCAAAAGGAAAGTTCAACTCTGGGAGTTGAATACAAACATCACAAAATAGTTTCCGAGAATGCTTCTGTTTAGTTTTTATGTGAAGATGATCCCGTTTCCAGTGAAATCTTCAAAGAGGTCCACATATCCCCTTGCAGATTCCAAAGAAAGAGGGTTTCAAAACTGCTCCATCAGAAGGATTTTTCAACTCTGTGAGTTGAATGCAGTCATCGCAGAAAACTTTCTGAGAATGCTTCTGTCTAGGTTTGATGTGAAGATATAGACGTTTCAAACGAAGGCTACAAAGTGGTCAAAATATACACTTGCAGATTCTACTACAAGGGTGTTGCAAACCTGAACTATCAAAGGAAGGTTCAACTCTGTGAGTTGAATACAAACGTCACAAAGAATGTTCTGAGTTTGCTTCCGTTCAGTTATGGGAAGTTGATCCCGTTTCCAACGAAATCCTCAGAGAGGTCCAAATATCCCCTCGCAGATTCTACAAAACGTGTGTTTGGAAACTGCTCCATCATAACGAATGTTCAGCTCCCTGAGTTAAACTCCATCGTCACAAAGAATTTTCTGAGAGTGCTACCGTCTGGTTTTTATATGAAGTTCTTTCCTTCACTACCACAGGCCTCAAAGCGGTCCAAATCTCCACTTGCAGATTCTACAAAAAGAGTGTTTGCAAACTGCTCTATCAAAAGGAATGTTCAACTCTGGGAGTTGAATGCAATCATCACAGAGCAGTTTCTGAGAATGCTTCTATGTCGTTTTTAGGAGAAGATATTTCCTTTTCCAACACAGTCCTCCAAGCCCGCTAAATAGCCACTTGCACATTGTAGAAAAAGTGTGTCAAAGCTGCGCTATCAAAGGGAAAGTTCAACTCTGTGAGGTGAATGCAAACATCCCAAAGAAGTTTCTGAGAATGCTTCCGTTGAGCTTTTAGGTGAAGATTATCCCGTTTCCAACGAAACCTTCAAAGAGGTCCAAATATCCCCTTGCGGATCCCACAGAAAGAGTGTTTCGAAACTGCTGTTTCAAAAGGAATCTTCAACTCTGTGAGTTGAATGCAATCATCACAAAGAAGTTTCTGACAATGCTTCTCTCTCGTCTTTCTGTGAAGATAAAGGAAAAGGCTTTCAGGCCTTTTCCACCACAGGCCTGAAAGCGCTCCAAATGTCCACTTGCAGATTCTGCCAAAAGAATATTTCAAAACTGCTCTATGAAAAGCAATGTTAAACTCTGTGGCTCGAACACAAACATCACAAAGCAGTTTCTGAGAATGCTTCAGTTTAGTTTTTCTGTGGAAATATTCCCGTTTCCAAAGAAATCTTCAAAGAGGTCCACGTATCCACTTACAGATTCTACAAAAAGACAGTTTCAAAACTGCTCCATCAAAAGGAGGGTTCAACTGTGTGACTTGAATGCAATCATCACTCAGAAGTTTCTGAGAATGCTTCTCTTTAGTTTTTACGTGAACATATACCCGTTTCGAACGAAGGCCACCCAGTGGTCCAAATATCCACTTGCAGATTCTACAGAAAGAGTGTTTCGAACCTGAACTCTCAAAGGCAGGTTCATCTCTGCGAGTTAAATGCATTCATCATGAAGAACTTTCTCAGAGTGTTTGTGTTTAGTTATGGGAAATTATTCCCGTTTCCAACGAAATCCTCAGAGAGCTCCAAATATCCACCTGCAGATTCTACCAAAAGTGTATTTGGAAACTGCTCCATCAAAAGGCATGTTCAGCTCTGTGAGTGAAACTCCATCATCACAAAGAATATTCTGAGAATGCTTCCGTTTGCCTTTTATATGAAGTTCCTTCCTGTACTACCGTAGGCCTCAAAGCAGTCCAAATCTCCATTTGCAGATTCTACAAAAAGAGTGATTCCAATCTGCTCTATCAATAGGATTGTTCAACTCCATGAGTTGAATGCCATCCTCACAAAGTAGTTTCTGAGAATGCTTCTATCTGGTTTTTGTGTGAAGATATTTCCTTTTCCACCACAGGCCTCAAAGCCCTCCAAACGTCCACTTGCAGATTCTCGAAAAAGAGTGTTTCATAGCTGCTCTTTCAAAAGGAAAGTTCAACTCTGGGAGTTGAATACAAACATCACAAAATAGTTTCCGAGAATGCTTCTGTTTAGTTTTTATGTGAAGATGATCCCGTTTCCAGTGAAATCTTCAAAGAGGTCCACATATCCCCTTGCAGATTCCAAAGAAAGAGGGTTTCAAAACTGCTCCATCAGAAGGATTGTTCAACTCTGTGAGTTGAATGCAGTCATCGCAGAAAACTTTCTGAGAATGCTTCTGTCTAGGTTTGATGTGAAGATATAGACGTTTCAAACGAAGGCTACAAAGTGGTCAAAATATACACTTGCAGATTCTACTACAAGGGTGTTGCAAACCTGAACTATCAAAGGAAGGTTCAACTCTGTGAATTGAATACAAACATCACAAAGAATGTTCTGAGTTTGCTTCCGTTCAGTTATGGGAAGTTGATCCCGTTTCCAACGAAATCCTCAGAGAGGTCCAAATATCCCCTCGCAGATTCTACAAAACGTGTGTTTGGAAACTGCTCCATCATAACGAATGTTCAGCTCCCTGAGTTAAACTCCATCGTCACAAAGAATTTTCTGAGAGTGCTACCGTCTGGTTTTTATATGAAGTTCTTTCCTTCACTACCACAGGCCTCAAAGCGGTCCAAATCTCCACTTGCAGATTCTACAAAAAGAGTGTTTGCAAACTGCTCTATCAAAAGGAATGTTCAACTCTGGGAGTTGAATGCAATCATCACAGAGCAGTTTCTGAGAATGCTTCTATGTCGTTTTTAGGAGAAGATATTTCCTTTTCCAACACAGTCCTCCAAGCCCGCTAAATAGCCACTTGCACATTGTAGAAAAAGTGTGTCAAAGCTGCGCTATCAAAGGGAAAGTTCAACTCTGTGAGGTGAATGCAAACATCCCAAAGAAGTTTCTGAGAATGCTTCCGTTTAGCTTTTAGGTGAAGATTATCCCGTTTCCAACGAAACCTTCAAAGAGGTCCAAATATCCCCTTGCGGATCCCACAGAAAGAGTGTTTCGAAACTGCTGTTTCAAAAGGAATCTTCAACTCTGTGAGTTGAATGCAATCATCACAAAGAAGTTTCTGACAATGCTTCTCTCTCGTCTTTCTGTGAAGATAAAGGAAAAGGCTTTCAGGCCTTTTCCACCACAGGCCTGAAAGCGCTCCAAAAGTCCACTTGCAGATTCTGCCAAAAGAATATTTCAAAACTGCTCTATGAAAAGCAATGTTAAACTCTGTGGCTCGAACACAAACATCACAAAGCAGTTTCTGAGAATGCTTCAGTTTAGTTTTTCTGTGGAAATATTCCCGTTTCCAAAGAAATCTTCAAAGAGGTCCACGTATCCACTTACAGATTCTACAAAAAGACAGTTTCAAAACTGCTCCATCAAAAGGAGGGTTCAACTGTGTGACTTGAATGCAATCATCACTCAGAAGTTTCTGAGAATGCTTCTCTTTAGTTTTTACGTGAACATATACCCGTTTCGAACGAAGACCAGCCAGTGGTCCAAATATCCACTTGCAGATTCTACAGAAAGAGTGTTTCGAACCTGAACTCTCAAAGGCAGGTTCATCTCTGCGAGTTAAATGCATTCATCATGAAGAACTTTCTCAGAGTGTTTGTGTTTAGTTATGGGAAATTATTCCCATTTCCAATGAAATCCTCAGAGAGCTCCAAATATCCACCTGCAGATTCTACCAAAAGTGTATTTGGAAACTGCTCCATCAAAAGGCATGTTCAGCTCTGTGAGTGAAACTCCATCATCACAAAGAATATTCTGAGAATGCTTCCGTTTGCCTTTTATATGAAGTTCTTTCCTATACGACCGTAGGCCTCAAAGCAGTCCAAATCTCCATTTGCAGATTCTACAAAAAGAGTGATTCCAATCTGCTCTATCAATAGGATTGTTCAACTCCATGAGTTGAATGCCATCCTCACAAAGTAGTTTCTGAGAATGCTTCTATCTAGTTTTATGTGAAGATATTTCCTTTTCCACCACAGGCCTCAAAGCCCTCCAAACGTCCACTTGCAGATTCTCGAAAAAGAGTGTTTCATAGCTGCTCTTTCAAAAGGAAAGTTCAACTCTGGGAGTTGAATACAAACATCACAAAGTAGTTTCCGAGAATGCTTCTGTTTAGTTTTTATGTGAAGATGATCCCGTTTCCAGTGAAATCTTCAAAGAGGTCCACATATCCCCTTGCAGATTCCAAAGAAAGAGGGTTTCAAAACTGCTCCATCAGAAGGATTGTTCAACTCTGTGAGTTGAATGCAGTCATCGCAGAAAACTTTCTGAGAATGCTTCTGTCTAGGTTTGATGTGAAGATATAGACGTTTCAAACGAAGGCTACAAAGTGGTCAAAATATACACTTGCAGATTCTACTACAAGGGTGTTGCAAACCTGAACTATCAAAGGAAGGTTCAACTCTGTGAATTGAATACAAACATCACAAAGAATGTTCTGAGTTTGCTTCCGTTCAGTTATGGGAAGTTGATCCCGTTTCCAACGAAATCCTCAGAGAGGTCCAAATATCCCCTTGCAGATTCTACAAAACGTGTGTTTGGAATCTGCTCCATCGTAACGAATGTTCAGCTCCCTGAGTTAAACTCCATCGTCACAAAGAATTTTCTGAGAGTGCTACCGTCTGGTTTTTATATGAAGTTCTTTCCTTCACTACCACAGGCCTCAAAGCGGTCCAAATCTCCACTTGCAGATTCTACAAAAAGAGTGTTTGCAAACTGCTCTATCAAAAGGAATGTTCAACTCTGGGAGTTGAATGCAATCATCACAGAGCAGTTTCTGAGAATGCTTCTATGTCGTTTTTAGGAGAAGATATTTCCTTTTCCAACACAGTCCTCCAAGCCCGCTAAATAGCCACTTGCACATTGTAGAAAAAGTGTGTCAAAGCTGCGCTATCAAAGGGAAAGTTCAACTCTGTGAGGTGAATGCAAACATCCCAAAGAAGTTTCTGAGAATGCTTCCGTTTAGCTTTTAGGTGAGGATTATCCCGTTTCCAACGAAACCTTCAAAGAGGTCCAAATATCCCCTTGCGGATCCCACAGAAAGAGTGTTTCGAAACTGCTGTTTCAAAAGGAATCTTCAACTCTGTGAGTTGAATGCAATCATCACAAAGAAGTTTCTGACAATGCTTCTCTCTCGTCTTTCTGTGAACATAAAGGAAAAGGCGTTCAGGCCTTTGCCACCACAGGCCTGAAAGCGCTCCAAATGTCCACTTGCAGATTCTGCCAAAAGAATATTTCAAAACTGCTTTGTGAAAAGCAATGTTAAACTCTGTGGCTCGAACACAAACATCACAAAGCGGTTTCTGAGAATGCTTCAGTTTAGTTTTTCTGTGGAAATATTCCCGTTTCCAAAGAAATCTTCAAAGAGGTCCACGTATCCACTTACAGATTCTACAAAAAGACAGTTTCAAAACTGCTCCATCAAAAGGAGGGTTCAACTGTGTGACTTGAATGCAATCATCACTCAGAAGTTTCTGAGAATGCTTCTCTTTAGTTTTTACGTGAACATATACCCGTTTCGAACGAAGGCCAGCCAGTGGTCCAAATATCCACTTGCAGATTCTACAGAAAGAGTGTTTCGAACCTGAACTCTCAAAGGCAGGTTCATCTCTGCGAGTTAAATGCATTCATCATGAAGAACTTTCTCAGAGTGTTTGTGTTTAGTTATGGGAAATTATTCCCGTTTCCAACGAAATCCTCAGAGAGCTCCAAATATCCACCTGCAGATTCTACCAAAAGTGTATTTGGAAACTGCTCCATCAAAAGGCATGTTCAGCTCTGTGAGTGAAACTCCATCATCACAAAGAATATTCTGAGAATGCTTCCGTTTGCCTTTTATATGAAGTTCCTTCCTATACTACCGTAGGCCTCAAAGCAGTCCAAATCTCCATTTGCAGATTCTACAAAAAGAGTGATTCCAATCTGCTCTATCAATAGGATTGTTCAACTCCATGAGTTGAATGCCATCCTCACAAAGTCGTTTCTGAGAATGTTTTCTATCTAGTTTTATGTGAAGATATTTCCTTTTCCACCACAGGCCTCAAAGCCCTCCAAACGTCCACTTGCAGATTCTCGAAAAAGAGTGTTTCATAGCTGCTCTTTCAAAAGGAAAGTTCAACTCTGGGAGTTGAATACAAACATCACAAAGTAGTTTCCGAGAATGCTTCTGTTTAGTTTTTATGTGAAGATGATCCCGTTTCCAGTGAAATCTTCAAAGAGGTCCACATATCCCCTTGCAGATTCCAAAGAAAGAGGGTTTCAAAACTGCTCCATCAGAAGGATTGTTCAACTCTGTGAGTTGAATGCAGTCATCGCAGAAAACTTTCTGAGAATGCTTCTGTCTAGGTTTGATGTGAAGATATAGACGTTTCAAACGAAGGCTACAAAGTGGTCAAAATATACACTTGCAGATTCTACTACAAGGGTGTTGCAAACCTGAACTATCAAAGGAAGGTTCAACTCTGTGAGTTGAATACAAACATCACAAAGAATGTTCTGAGTTTGCTTCCGTTCAGTTATGGGAAGTTGATCCCGTTTCCAACGAAATCCTCAGAGAGGTCCAAATATCCCCTTGCAGATTCTACAAAACGTGTGTTTGGAAACTGCTCCATCATAACGAATGTTCAGCTCCCTGAGTTAAACTCCATCGTCACAAAGAATTTTCTGAGAGTGCTACCGTCTGGTTTTTATATGAAGTTCTTTCCTTCACTACCACAGGCCTCAAAGCGGTCCAAATCTCCACTTGCAGATTCTACAAAAAGAGTGTTTGCAAACTGCTCTATCAAAAGGAATGTTCAACTCTGGGAGTTGAATGCAATCATCACAGAGCAGTTTCTGAGAATGCTTCTATGTCGTTTTTAGGAGAAGATATTTCCTTTTCCAACACAGTCCTCCAAGCCCGCTAAATAGCCACTTGCACATTGTAGAAAAAGTGTGTCAAAGCTGCGCTATCAAAGGGAAAGTTCAACTCTGTGAGGTGAATGCAAACATCCCAAAGAAGTTTCTGAGAATGCTTCCGTTTAGCTTTTAGGTGAAGATTATCCCGTTTCCAACGAAACCTTCAAAGAGGTCCAAATATCCCCTTGCGGATCCCACAGAAAGAGTGTTTCGAAACTGCTGTTTCAAAAGGAATCTTCAACTCTGTGAGTTGAATGCAATCATCACAAAGAAGTTTCTGACAATGCTTCTCTCTCGTCTTTCTGTGAAGATAAAGGAAAAGGCTTTCAGGCCTTTGCCACCACAGGCCTGAAAGCGCTCCAAATGTCCACTTGCAGATTCTGCCAAAAGAATATTTCAAAACTGCTCTATGAAAAGCAATGTTAAACTCTGCGGCTCGAACACAAACATCACAAAGCGGTTTCTGAGAATGCTTCAGTTTAGTTTTTCTGTGGAAATATTCCCGTTTCCAAAGAAATCTTCAAAGAGGTCCACGTATCCACTTACAGATTCTACAAAAAGACAGTTTCAAAACTGCTCCATCAAAAGGAGGGTTCAACCGTGTGACTTGAATGCAATCATCACTCAGAAGTTTCTGAGAATGCTTCTCTTTAGTTTTTACGTGAACATATACCCGTTTCGAACGAAGGCCACCCAGTGGTCCAAATATCCACTTGCAGATTCTACAGAAAGAGTGTTTCGAACCTGAACTCTCAAAGGCAGGTTCATCTCTGCGAGTTAAATGCATTCATCATGAAGAACTTTCTCAGAGTGTTTGTGTTTAGTTATGGGAAATTATTCCCGTTTCCAACGAAATCCTCAGAGAGCTCCAAATATCCACCTGCAGATTCTACCAAAAGTGTATTTGGAAACTGCTCCATCAAAAGGCATGTTCAGCTCTGTGAGTGAAACTCCATCATCACAAAGAATATTCTGAGAATGCTTCCGTTTGCCTTTTATATGAAGTTCCTTCCTATACGACCGTAGGCCTCAAAGCAGTCCAAATCTCCATTTGCAGATTCTACAAAAGAGTGATTCCAATCTGCTCTATCAATAGGATTGTTCAACTCCATGAGTTGAATGCCATCCTCACAAAGTAGTTTCTGAGAATGCTTCTATCTGGTTTTTGTGTGAAGATATTTCCTTTTCCACCACAGGCCTCAAAGCCCTCCAAACGTCCACTTGCAGATTCTCGAAAAAGAGTGTTTCATAGCTGCTCTTTCAAAAGGAAAGTTCAACTCTGGGAGTTGAATACAAACATCACAAAATAGTTTCCGAGATTGCTTCTGTTTAGTTTTTATGTGAAGATGATCCCGTTTCCAGTGAAATCTTCAAAGAGGTCCACATATCCCCTTGCAGATTCCAAAGAAAGAGGGTTTCAAAACTGCTCCATCAAAAGGATTGTTCAACTCTGTGAGTTGAATGCAGTCATCGCAGAAAACTTTCTGAGAATGCTTCTGTCTAGGTTTGATGTGAAGATATAGACGTTTCAAACGAAAGCTACAAAGTGGTCAAAATATACACTTGCAGATTCTACTACAAGGGTGTTGCAAACCTGAACTATCAAAGGAAGGTTCAACTCTGTGAGTTGAATACAAACATCACAAAGAATGTTCTGAGTTTGCTTCCGTTCAGTTATGGGAAGTTGATCCCGTTTCCAACGAAATCCTCAGAGAGGTCCAAATATCCCCTCGCAGATTCTACAAAACGTGTGTTTGGAAACTGCTCCATCATAACGAATGTTCAGCTCCCTGAGTTAAACTCCATCGTCACAAAGAATTTTCTGATAGTGCTACCGTCTGGTTTTTATATGAAGTTCTTTCCTTCACTACCACAGGCCTCAAAGCGGTCCAAATCTCCACTTGCAGATTCTACAAAAAGAGTGTTTGCAAACTGCTCTATCAAAAGGAATGTTCAACTCTGGGAGTTGAATGCAATCATCACAGAGCAGTTTCTGAGAATGCTTCTATGTCGTTTTTAGGAGAAGATATTTCCTTTTCCAACACAGTCCTCCAAGCCCGCTAAATAGCCACTTGCACATTGTAGAAAAAGTGTGTCAAAGCTGCGCTATCAAAGGGAAAGTTCAACTCTGAGAGGTGAATGCAAACATCCCAAAGAAGTTTCTGAGAGTGCTTCCGTTTAGCTTTTAGGTGAAGATTATCCCGTTTCCAACGAAACCTTCAAAGAGGTCCAAATATCCCCTTGTGGATCCCACAGAAAGAGTGTTTCGAAACTGCTGTTTCAAAAGGAATCTTCAACTCTGTGAGTTGAATGCAATCATCACAAAGAAGTTTCTGACAATGCTTCTCTCTCGTCTTCCTGTGAAGATAAAGGAAAAGGCTTTCAGGCCTTTTCCACCACAGGCCTGAAAGCGCTCCAAATGTCCACTTGCAGATTCTGCCAAAAGAATATTTCAAAACTGCTCTATGAAAAGCAATGTTAAACTCTGTGGCTCGAACACAAACATCACAAAGCAGTTTCTGAGAATGCTTCAGTTTAGTTTTTCTGTGGAAATATTCCCGTTTCAAAAGAAATCTTCAAAGAGGTCCACGCATCCACTTACAGATTCTACAAAAAGACAGTTTCAAAACTGCTCAATCAAAAGGAGGGTTCAACCGTGTGACTTGAATGCAATCATCACTCAGAAGTTTCTGAGAACGCTTCTCTTTAGTTTTTACGTGAACATATACCCGTTTCGAACGAAGGCCACACAGTGGTCCAAATATCCACTTGCAGATTCTACAGAAAGAGTGTTTCGAACCTGAACTCTCAAAGGCAGGTTCATCTCTGCGAGTTCAATGCATTCATCATGAAGAACTTTCTCAGAGTGTTTGTGTTTAGGTATAGGAAATTATTCCCGTTTCCAACGAAATCCTCAGAGAGGTCCAAATATCCACCTGCAGATTCTACCAAAAGTGTATTTGGAAACTGCTCCATCAAAAGGCATGTTCAGCTCTGTGAGTGAAACTCCATCATCACAAAGAATATTCTGAGAATGCTTCCGTTTGCCTTTTATATGAAGTTCCTTCCTATACTACCGTAGGCCTCAAAGCAGTCCAAATCTCCATTTGCAGATTCTACAAAAAGAGTGATTCCAATCTGCTCTATCAATAGGATTGTTCAACTCCATGAGTTGAATGCCATCCTCACAAAGTCGTTTCTGAGAATGCTTCTATCTAGTTTTTATGTGAAGATATTTCCTTTTCCACCACAGGCCTCAAAGCCCTCCAAACGTCCACTTGCAGATTCTCGAAAAAGAGTGTTTCATAGCTGCTCTTTCAAAAGGAAAGTTCAACTCTGGGAGTTGAATACAAACATCACAAAGTAGTTTCCGAGAATGCTTCTGTTTAGTTCTTATGTGAAGATGATCCCGTTTCCAGTGAAATCTTCAAAGAGGTCCACATATCCCCTTGCAGATTCCAAAGAAAGAGGGTTTCAAAACTGCTCCATCAAAAGGATTGTTCAACTCTGTGAGTTGAATGCAGTCATCGCAGAAAACTTTCTGAGAATGCTTCGGTCTAGGTTTGAGGTGAAGATATAGACGTTTCAAACGAAGGCTACAAAGTGGTCAAAATATACACTTGCAGATTCTACTACAAGGGTGTTGCAAACCTCAACTATCAAAGGAAGGTTCAACTCTGTGAGTTGAATACAAACATCACAAAGAATGTTCTCAGTTTGCTTCTGTTCAGTTATGGGAAGTTGATCCCGTTTCCAACGAAATCCTCAGAGAGGTCCAAATATCCCCTTGCAGATTCTACAAAACGTGTGTTTGGAAACTGCTCCATCATAACGAATGTTCAGCTCTCTGAGTTAAACTCCATCGTCACAAAGAATTTTCTGAGAGTGCTACCGTCTGGTTTTTATATGAAGTTCTTTCCTTTACTACCACAGGCCTCAAAGCGGTCCAAATCTCCACTTGCAGATTCTACAAAAACAGTGTTTGCAAACTGCTCTATCAAAAGGAATGTTCAACTCTGGGAGTTGAATGCAATCATCACAGAGCAGTTTCTGAGAATGCTTCTATGTCGTTTTTAGGAGAAGATATTTCCTTTTCCAACACAGTCCTCCAAGCCCGCTAAATAGCCACTTGCACATTGTAGAAAAAGTGTGTCGAAGCTGCGCTATCAAAGGGAAAGTTCAACTCTGTGAGGTGAATGCAAACATCCCAAAGAAGTTTCTGAGAATGCTTCCGTTTAGCTTTTAGGTGAAGATTATCCCGTTTCCAACGAAATCTTCAAAGAGGTCCAAATATCCCCTTGCGGATCCCACAGAAAGAGTGTTTCGAAACTGCTGTTTCAAAAGGAATCTTCAACTCTGTGAGTTGAATGCAATCATCACAAAGAAGTTTCTGACAATGCTTCTCTCTCGTCTTTCTGTGAAGATAAAGGAAAAGGCTTTCAGGCCTTTTCCACCACAGGCCTGAAAGCGCTCCAAATGACCACTTGCAGATTCTGCCAAAAGAATATTTCAAAACTGCTCTATGAAAAGCAATGTTAAACTCTGTGGCTCGAACACAAACATCACAAAGCAGTTTCTGAGAATGCTTCAGTTTAGTTTTTCTGTGGAAATATTCCCGTTTCCAAAGAAATCTTCAAAGAGGTCCACGCATCCACTTACAGATTCTACAAAAAGACAGTTTCAAAACTGCTCAATCAAAAGGAGGGTTCAACTGTGTGACTTGAATGCAATCATCACTCAGAAGTTTCTGAGAACGCTTCTCTTTAGTTTTTACGTGAACATATACCCGTTTCGAACGAAGGCCAGCCAGTGGTACAAATATCCACTTGCAGATTCTACAGAAAGAGTGTTTCGAACCTGAACTCTCAAAGGCAGGTTCATCTCTGCGAGTTAAATGCATTCATCATGAAGAACTTTCTCAGAGTGTTTTGTGTTTAGTTATGGGAAATTATTCCCGTTTCCAACGAAATCCTCAGAGAGCTCCAAATATCCACCTGCTGATTCTACCAAAAGTGTATTTGGAAACTGCTCCATCAAAAGGCATGTTCAGGTCTGTGAGTGAAACTCCATCATCACAAAGAATATTCTGAGAATGCTTCCGTTTGCCTTTTATATGAAGTTCCTTCCTATACTACCGTAGGCCTCAAAGCAGTCCAAATCTCCATTTGCAGATTCTACAAAAAGAGTGATTCCAATCTCCTCTATCAATAGGATTGTTCAACTCCATGAGTTGAATGCCATCCTCACAATGTCGTTTCTGAGAATGCTTCTATCTAGTTTTTATGTGAAGATATTTCCTTTTCCACCACAGGCCTCAAAGCCCTCCAAACGTCCACTTGCAGATTCTCGAAAAAGAGTGTTTCATAGCTGCTCTTTCAAAAGGAAAGTTCAACTCTGGGAGTTGAATACAAACATCACAAAGTAGTTTCCGAGAATGCTTCTGTTTAGTTTTTATGTGAAGATGATCCCGTTTCCAGTGAAATCTTCAAAGAGGTCCACATATCCCCTTGCAGATTCCAAAGAAAGAGGGTTTCAAACCTGCTCCATCAGAAGGATTGTTCAACTCTGTGAGTTGAATGCAGTCATCGCAGAAAACTTTCTGAGAATGCTTCTGTCTAGGTTTGATGTGAAGATATAGACGTTTCAAACGAAGGCTACAAAGTGGTCAAAATATACACTTGCAGATTCTACTACAAGGGTGTTGCAAACCTGAACTATCAAAGGAAGGTTCAACTCTGTGAGTTGAATACAAACATCACAAAGAATGTTCTGAGTTTGCTTCCGTTCAGTTATGGGAAGTTGATCCCGTTTCCAAAGAAATCCTCAGAGAGGTCCAAATATCCCCTCGCAGATTCTACAAAACGTGTGTTTGGAAACTGCTCCATCATAACGAATGTTCAGCTCCCTGAGTTAAACTCCATCGTCACAAAGAATTTTCTGAGAGTGCTACCGTCTGGTTTTTATATGAAGTTCTTTCCTTCACTACCACAGGCCTCAAAGCGGTCCAAATCTCCACTTGCAGATTCTACAAAAAGAGTGTTTGCAAACTGCTCTATCAAAAGGAATGTTCAACTCTGGGAGTTGAATGCAATCATCACAGAGCAGTTTCTGAGAATGCTTCTATGTCGTTTTTAGGAGAAGATATTTCCTTTTCCAACACAGTCCTCCAAGCCCGCTAAATAGCCACTTGCACATTGTAGAAAAAGTGTGTCAAAGCTGCGCTATCAAAGGGAAAGTTCAACTCTGTGAGGTGAATGCAAACATCCCAAAGAAGTTTCTGAGAATGCTTCCGTTTAGCTTTTAGGTGAAGATTATCCCGTTTCCAACGAAACCTTCAAAGAGGTCCAAATATCCCCTTGCGGATCCCACAGAAAGAGTGTTTCGAAACTGCTGTTTCAAAAGGAATCTTCAACTCTGTGAGTTGAATGCAATCATCACAAAGAAGTTTCTGACAATGCTTCTCTCTCGTCTTTCTGTGAAGATAAAGGAAAAGGCTTTCAGGCCTTTTCCACCACAGGCCTGAAAGCGCTCCAAATGTCCACTTGCAGATTCTGCCAAAAGAATATTTCAAAACTGCTCTATGAAAAGCAATGTTAAACTCTGCGGCTCGAACACAAACATCACAAAGCGGTTTCTGAGAATGCTTCAGTTTAGTTTTTCTGTGGAAATATTCCCGTTTCCAAAGAAATCTTCAAAGAGGTCCACGCATCCACTTACAGATTCTACAAAAAGACAGTTTCAAAACTGCTCCATCAAAAGGAGGGTTCAACTGTGTGACTTGAATGCAATCATCACTCAGAAGTTTCTGAGAATGCTTCTCTTTAGTTTTTACGTGAACATATACCCGTTTCGAACGAAGGCCAGCCAGTGGTCCAAATATCCACTTGCAGATTCTACAGAAAGAGTGTTTCGAACCTGAACTCTCAAAGGCAGGTTCATCTCTGCGAGTTAAATGCATTCATCATGAAGAACTTTCTCAGAGTGTTTGTGTTTAGTTATGGGAAATTATTCCCGTTTCCAACGAAATCCTCAGAGAGCTCCAAATATCCACCTGCAGATTCTACCAAAAGTGTATTTGGAAACTGCTCCATCAAAAGGCATGTTCAGCTCTGTCAGTGAAACTCCATCATCACAAAGAATATTCTGAGAATGCTTCCGTTTGCCTTTTATATGAAGTTCCTTCCTGTACTACCGTAGGCCTCAAAGCAGTCCAAATCTCCATTTGCAGATTCTACAAAAAGAGTGATTCCAATCTGCTCTATCAATAGGATTGTTCAACTCCATGAGTTGAATGCCATCCTCACAAAGTCGTTTCTGAGAATGCTTCTATCTGGTTTTTGTGTGAAGATATTTCCTTTTCCACCACAGGCCTCAAAGCCCTCCAAACGTCCACTTGCAGATTCTCGAAAAAGAGTGTTTCATAGCTACTCTTTCAAAAGGAAAGTTCAACTCTGGGAGTTGAATACAAACATCACAAAATAGTTTCCGAGAATGCTTCTGTTTAGTTTTTATGTGAAGATGATCCCGTTTCCAGTGAAATCTTCAAAGAGGTCCACATATCCCCTTGCAGATTCCAAAGAAAGAGGGTTTCAAAACTGCTCCATCAGAAGGATTGTTCAACTCTGTGAGTTGAATGCAGTCATCGCAGAAAACTTTCTGAGAATGCTTCTGTCTAGGTTTGATGTGAAGATATAGACGTTTCAAACGAAGGCTACAAAGTGGTCAAAATATACACTTGCAGATTCTACTACAAGGGTGTTGCGAACCTGAACTATCAAAGGAAGGTTCAACTCTGTGAATTGAATACAAACATCACAAAGAATGTTCTGAGTTTGCTTCCGTTCAGTTATGGGAAGTTGATCCCGTTTCCAACGAAATCCTCAGAGAGGTCCAAATATCCCCTCGCAGATTCTACAAAACGTGTGTTTGGAAACTGCTCCATCATAACGAATGTTCAGCTCCCTGAGTTAAACTCCATCGTCACAAAGAATTTTCTGAGAGTGCTACCGTCTGGTTTTTATATGAAGTTCTTTCCTTCACTACCACAGGCCTCAAAGCGGTCCAAATCTCCACTTGCAGATTCTACAAAAAGAGTGTTTGCAAACTGCTCTATCAAAAGGAATGTTCAACTCTGGGAGTTGAATGCAATCATCACAGAGCAGTTTCTGAGAATGCTTCTATGTCGTTTTTAGGAGAAGATATTTCCTTTTCCAACACAGTCCTCCAAGCCCGCTAAATAGCCACTTGCACATTGTAGAAAAAGTGTGTCAAAGCTGCGCTATCAAAGGGAAAGTTCAACTCTGAGAGGTGAATGCAAACATCCCAAAGAAGTTTCTGAGAGTGCTTCCGTTTAGCTTTTAGGTGAAGATTATCCCGTTTCCAACAAAACCTTCAAAGAGGTCCAAATATCCCCTTGGGGATCCCACAGAAAGAGTGTTTCAAAACTGCTGTTTCAAAAGGAATCTTCAACTCTGTGAGTTGAATGCAATCATCACAAAGAAGTTTCTGACAATGCTTCTCTCTCGTCTTTCTGTGAAGATAAAGGAAAAGGCTTTCAGGCCTTTTCCACCACAGGCCTGAAAGCGCTCCAAATGTCCACTTGCAGATTCTGCGAAAAGAATATTTCAAAACTGCTCTATGAAAAGCAATGTTAAACTCTGTGGCTCGAACACAAACATCACAAAGCAGTTTCTGAGAATGCTTCAGTTTAGTTTTTCTGTGGAAATATTCCCGTTTCCAAAGAAATCTTCAAAGAGGTCCACGTATCCACTTACAGATTCTACAAAAAGACAGTTTCAAAACTGCTCCATCAAAAGGAGGGTTCAACTGTGTGACTTGAATGCAATCATCACTCAGAAGTTTCTGAGAATGCTTCTCTTTAGTTTTTACGTGAACATATACCCGTTTCGAACGAAGGCCACCCAGTGGTCCAAATATCCACTTGCAGATTCTACAGAAAGAGTGTTTCGAACCTGAACTCTCAAAGGCAGGTTCATCTCTGCGAGTTAAATGCATTCATCATGAAGAACTTTCTCAGAGTATTTGTGTTTAGTTATGGGAAATTATTCCCGTTTCCAAAGAAATCCTCAGAGAGCTCCAAATATCCACCTGCAGATTCTACCAAAAGTGTATTTGGAAACTGCTCCATCAAAAGGCATGTTCAGCTCTGTGAGTGAAACTCCATCATCACAAAGAATATTCTGAGAATGCTTCCGTTTGCCTTTTATATGAAGTTCCTTCCTGTACTACCGTAGGCCTCAAAGCAGTCCAAATCTCCATTTGCAGATTCTACAAAAAGAGTGATTCCAATCTGCTCTATCAATAGGATTGTTCAACTCCATGAGTTGAATGCCATCCTCACAAAGTAGTTTCTGAGAATGCTTCTATCTGGTTTTTGTGTGAAGATATTTCCTTTTCCACCACAGGCCTCAAAGCCCTCCAAACGTCCACTTGCAGATTCTCGAAAAAGAGTGTTTCATAGCTGCTCTTTCAAAAGGAAAGTTCAACTCTGGGAGTTGAATGCAAACATCACAAAATAGTTTCTGAGAATGCTTCTGTTTAGTTTTTATATGAAGATGATCCCGTTTCCAGTGAAATCTTCAAAGAGGTCCACATATCCCCTTGCAGATTCCAAAGAAAGAGGGTTTCAAAACTGCTCCATCAGAAGGATTGTTCAACTCTGTGAGTTGAATGCAGTCATCGCAGAAAACTTTCTGAGAATGCTTCTGTCTAGGTTTGATGTGAAGATATAGACGTTTCAAACGAAGGCTACAAAGTGGTCAAAATATACACTTGCAGATTCTACTACAAGGGTGTTGCAAACCTGAACTATCAAAGGAAGGTTCAACTCTGTGAGTTGAATACAAACATCACAAAGAATGTTCTGAGTTTGCTTCCGTTCAGTTATGGGAAGTTGATCCCGTTTCCAACGAAATCCTCAGAGAGGTCCAAATATCCCCTTGCAGATTCTACAAAACGTGTGTTTGGAAACTGCTCCATCATAACGAATGTTCAGCTCCCTGAGTTAAACTCCATCGTCACAAAGAATTTTCTGAGAGTGCTACCGTCTGGTTTTTATATGAAGCTCTTTCCTTCACTACCACAGGCCTCAAAGCGGTCCAAATCTCCACTTGCAGATTCTACAAAAAGAGTGTTTGCAAACTGCTCTATCAAAAGGAATGTTCAACTCTGGGAGTTGAATGCAATCATCACAGAGCAGTTTCTGAGAATGCTTCTATGTCGTTTTTAGAAGATATTTCCTTTTCCAACACAGTCCTCCAAGCCCGCTAAATATCCACTTGCACATTGTAGAAAAAGTGTGTCAAAGCTGCGCTATCAAAGGGAAAGTTCAACTCTGTGAGGTGAATGCAAACATCCCAAAGAAGTTTCTGAGAATGCTTCCGTTTAGCTTTTAGGTGAAGATTATCCCGTTTCCAACGAAACCTTCAAAGAGGTCCAAATATCCCCTTGCGGATCCCACAGAAAGAGTGTTTCGAAACTGCTGTTTCAAAAGGAATCTTCAACTCTGTGAGTTGAATGCAATCATCACAAAGAAGTTTCTGACAATGCTTCTCTCTCGTCTTTCTGTGAAGATAAAGGAAAAGGCTTTCAGGCCTTTGCCACCACAGGCCTGAAAGCGCTCCAAATGTCCACTTGCAGATTCTGCCAAAAG
This sequence comes from Homo sapiens, assembly GCF_000001405.40. Classification (NCBI taxonomy): domain Eukaryota; kingdom Metazoa; phylum Chordata; class Mammalia; order Primates; family Hominidae; genus Homo; species Homo sapiens. The sequence goes on along the minus strand of NC_000023.11, from coordinate 59,799,783 downwards.
AATATTTCAAAACTGCTCTATGAAAAGCAATGTTAAACTCTGTGGCTCGAACACAAACATCACAAAGCGGTTTCTGAGAATGCTTCAGTTTAGTTTTTCTGTGGAAATATTCCCGTTTCCAAAGAAATCTTCAAAGAGGTCCACGTATCCACTTACAGATTCTACAAAAAGACAGTTTCAAAACTGCTCCATCAAAAGGAGTGTTCAACCGTGTGACTTGAATGCAATCATCACTCAGAAGTATCTGAGAATGCTTCTCTTTAGTTTTTACGTGAACATATACCCGTTTCGAACGAAGGCCACCCAGTGGTCCAAATATCCACTTGCAGATTATACAGAAAGAGTGTTTCGAACCTGAACTCTCAAAGGCAGGTTCATCTCTGCGAGTTAAATGCATTCATCATGAAGAACTTTCTCAGAGTGTTTGTGTTTAGTTATGGGAAATTATTCCCGTTTCCAACGAAATCCTCAGAGAGCTCCAAATATCCACCTGCAGATTCTACCAAAAGTGTATTTGGAAACTGCTCCATCAAAAGGCATGTTCAGCTCTGTGAGTGAAACTCCATCATCACAAAGAATATTCTGAGAATGCTTCCGTTTGCCTTTTATATGAAGTTCCTTCCTGTACTACCGTAGGCCTCAAAGCAGTCCAAATCTCCATTTGCAGATTCTATAAAAAGAGTGATTCCAATCTGCTCTATCAATAGGATTGTTCAACTCCATGAGTTGAATGCCATCCTCACAAAGTAGTTTCTGAGAATGCTTCTATCTGGTTTTTGTGTGAAGATATTTCCTTTTCCACCACAGGCCTCAAAGCCCTCCAAACGTCCACTTGCAGATTCTCGAAAAAGAGTGTTTCATAGCTGCTCTTTCAAAAGGAAAGTTCAACTCTGGGAGTTGAATACAAACATCACAAAATAGTTTCCGAGAATGCTTCTGTTTAGTTTTTATGTGAAGATGATCCCGTTTCCAGTGAAATCTTCAAAGAGGTCCACATATCCCCTTGCAGATTCCAAAGAAAGAGGGTTTCAAAACTGCTCCATCAGAGGATTGTTCAACTCTGTGAGTTGAATGCAGTCATCGCAGAAAACTTTCTGAGAATGCTTCTGTCTAGGTTTGATGTGAAGATATAGACGTTTCAAACGAAGGCTACAAAGTGGTCAAAATATACACTTGCAGATTCTACTACAAGGGTGTTGCAAACCTGAACTATCAAAGGAAGGTTCAACTCTGTGAGTTGAATACAAACATCACAAAGAATGTTCTGAGTTTGCTTCCGTTCAGTTATGGGAAGTTGATCCCGTTTCCAACGAAATCCTCAGAGAGGTCCAAATATCCCCTCGCAGATTCTACAAAACGTGTGTTTGGAAACTGCTCCATCATAACGAATGTTCAGCTCCCTGAGTTAAACTCCATCGTCACAAAGAATTTTCTGAGAGTGCTACCGTCTGGTTTTTATATGAAGTTCTTTCCTTCACTACCACAGGCCTCAAAGCGGTCCAAATCTCCACTTGCAGATTCTACAAAAAGAGTGTTTGCAAACTGCTCTATCAAAAGGAATGTTCAACTCTGGGAGTTGAATGCAATCATCACAGAGCAGTTTCTGAGAATGCTTCTATGTCGTTTTTAGGAGAAGATATTTCCTTTTCCAACACAGTCCTCCAAGCCCGCTAAATAGCCACTTGCACATTGTAGAAAAAGTGTGTCAAAGCTGCGCTATCAAAGGGAAATTTCAACTCTGTGAGGTGAATGCAAACATCCCAAAGAAGTTTCTGAGAATGCTTCCGTTTAGCTTTTAGGTGAAGATTATCCCGTTTCCAACGAAACCTTCAAAGAGGTCCAAATATCCCCTTGCGGATCCCACAGAAAGAGTGTTTCGAAACTGCTGTTTCAAAAGGAATCTTCAACTCTGTGAGTTGAATGCAATCATCACAAAGAAGTTTCTGACAATGCTTCTCTCTCGTCTTTCTGTGAAGATAAAGGAAAAGGCTTTCAGGCCTTTTCCACCACAGGCCTGAAAGCGCTCCAAATGTCCACTTGCAGATTCTGCGAAAAGAATATTTCAAAACTGCTCTATGAAAAGCAATGTTAAACTCTGTGGCTGGAACACAAACATCACAAAGCGGTTTCTGAGAATGTTTCAGTTTAGTTTTTCTGTGGAAATATTCCCGTTTCCAAAGAAATCTTCAAAGAGGTCCACGTATCCACTTACAGATTCTACAAAAAGACAGTTTCAAAACTGCTCCATCAAAAGGAGGGTTCAACTGTGTGACTTGAATGCAATCATCACTCAGAAGTTTCTGAGAATGCTTCTCTTTAGTTTTTACGTGAACATATACCCGTTTCGAACGAAGGCCACCCAGTGGTCCAAATATCCACTTGCAGATTATACAGAAAGAGTGTTTCGAACCTGAACTCTCAAAGGCAGGTTCATCTCTGCGAGTTAAATGCATTCATCATGAAGAACTTTCTCAGAGTGTTTGTGTTTAGTTATGGGAAATTATTCCCGTTTCCAACGAAATCCTCAGAGAGCTCCAAATATCCACCTGCAGATTCTACCAAAAGTGTATTTGGAAACTGCTCCATCAAAAGGCATGTTCAGCTCTGTCAGTGAAACTCCATCATCACAAAGAATATTCTGAGAATGCTTCCGTTTGCCTTTTATATGAAGTTCCTTCCTGTACTACCGTAGGCCTCAAAGCAGTCCAAATCTCCATTTGCAGATTCTACAAAAAGAGTGATTCCAATCTGCTCTATCAATAGGATTGTTCAACTCCATGAGTTGAATGCCATCCTCACAAAGTAGTTTCTGAGAATGCTTCTATCTGGTTTTTGTGTGAAGATATTTCCTTTTCCACCACAGGCCTCAAAGCCCTCCAAACGTCCACTTGCAGATTCTCGAAAAAGAGTGTTTCATAGCTGCTCTTTCAAAAGGAAAGTTCAACTCTGGGAGTTGAATACAAACATCACAAAATAGTTTCCGAGAATGCTTCTGTTTAGTTTTTATGTGAAGATGATCCCGTTTCCAGTGAAATCTTCAAAGAGGTCCACATATCCCCTTGCAGATTCCAAAGAAAGAGGGTTTCAAAACTGCTCCATCAGAAGGATTGTTCAACTCTGTGAGTTGAATGCAGTCATCGCAGAAAACTTTCTGAGAATGCTTCTGTCTAGGTTTGATGTGAAGATATAGACGTTTCAAACGAAGGCTACAAAGTGGTCAAAATATACACTTGCAGATTCTACTACAAGGGTGTTGCAAACCTGAACTATCAAAGGAAGGTTCAACTCTGTGAGTTGAATACAAACATCACAAAGAATGTTCTGAGTTTGCTTCCGTTCAGTTATGGGAAGTTGATCCCGTTTCCAACGAAATACTCAGAGAGGTCCAAATATCCCCTCGCAGATTCTACAAAACGTGTGTTTGGAAACTGCTCCATCATAACGAATGTTCAGCTCCCTGAGTTAAACTCCATCGTCACAAAGAATTTTCTGAGAGTGCTACCGTCTGGTTTTTATATGAAGTTCTTTCCTTCACTATCACAGGCCTCAAAGCGGTCCAAATCTCCACTTGCAGATTCTACAAAAAGAGTGTTTGCAAACTGCTCTATCAAAAGGAATGTTCAACTCTGGGAGTTGAATGCAATCATCACAGAGCAGTTTCTGAGAATGCTTCTATGTCGTTTTTAGGAGAAGATATTTCCTTTTCCAACACAGTCCTCCAAGCCCGCTAAATAGCCACTTGCACATTGTAGAAAAAGTGTGTCAAAGCTGCGCTATCAAAGGGAAAGTTCAACTCTGTGAGGTGAATGCAAACATCCCAAAGAAGTTTCTGAGAATGCTTCCGTTTAGCTTTTAGGTGAAGATTATCCCGTTTCCAACGAAACCTTCAAAGAGGTCCAAATATCCCCTTGCGGATCCCACAGAAAGAGTGTTTCGAAACTGCTGTTTCAAAAGGAATCTTCAACTCTGTGAGTTGAATGCAATCATCACAAAGAAGTTTCTGACAATGCTTCTCTCTCGTCTTTCTGTGAAGATAAAGGAAAAGGCTTTCAGGCCTTTTCCACCACAGGCCTGAAAGCGCTCCAAATGTCCACTTGCAGATTCTGCCAAAAGAATATTTCAAAACTGCTCTATGAAAAGCAATGTTAAACTCTCTGGCTCGAACACAAACATCACAAAGCAGTTTCTGAGAATGCTTCAGTTTAGTTTTTCTGTGGAAATATTCCCGTTTCCAAAGAAATCTTCAAAGAGGTCCATGCATCCACTTACAGATTCTACAAAAAGACAGTTTCAAAACTGCTCAATCAAAAGGAGGGTTCAACTGTGTGACTTGAATGCAATCATCACTCAGAAGTTTCTGAGAACGCTTCTCTTTAGTTTTTACGTGAACATATACCCGTTTCGAACGAAGGCCAGCCAGTGGTCCAAATATCCACTTGCAGATTCTACAGAAAGAGTGTTTTGAACCTGAACTCTCAAAGGCAGGTTCATCTCTGTGAGTTAAATGCATTCATCATGAAGAACTTTCTCAGCGTGTTTGTGTTTAGTTATGGGAAATTATTCCCGTTTCCAACGAAATCCTCAGAGAGCTCCAAATATCCACCTGCAGATTGTACCAAAAGTGTATTTGGAAACTGCTCCATGAAAAGGCATGTTCAGCTCTGTGAGTGAAACTCCGTCATCACAAAGAATATTCTGAGAATGCTTCCGTTTGCCTTTTATATGAAGTTCCTTCCTATACTACCGTAGGCCTCAAAGCAGTCCAAATCTCCATTTGCAGATTCTACAAAAAGAGTGATTCCAATCTGCTCTATCAATAGGATTGTTCAACTCCATGAGTTGAATGCCATCCTCACAAAGTAGTTTCTGAGAATGCTTCTATGTAGTTTTTATGTGAAGATATTTCCTTTTCCACCACAGGCCTCAAAGCCCTCCAAACGTCCACTTGCAGATTCCCGAAAAAGAGTGTTTCATAGCTGCTCTTTCAAAAGGAAAGTTCAACTCTGGGAGTTGAATACAAACATCACAAAGTAGTTTCCGAGAATGCTTCTGTTTAGTTCTTATGTGAAGATGATCCCGTTTCCAGTGAAATCTTCAAAGAGGTCCACATATCCCCTTGCAGATTCCAAAAAAAGAGGGTTTCAAAACTGCTCCATCAAAAGGATTGTTCAACTCTGTGAGTTGAATGCAGTCATCGCAGAAAACTTTCTGAGAATGCTTCTGTCTAGGTTTGATGTGAAGATATAGACGTTTCAAACGAAGGCTACAAAGTGGTCAAAATATACACTTGCAGATTCTACTACAAGGGTGATGCAAACCTCAACTATCAAAGGAAGGTTCAACTCTGTGAGATGAATGCAAACATCACAAAGAATGTTCTGAGTTTGCTTCCGTTCAGTTATGGGAAGTTGATCCCGTTTCCAACGAAATCCTCAGAGAGGTCCAAATATCCCCTTGCAGATTCTACAAAACGTGTGTTTGGAAACTGCTCCATCATAACGAATGTTCAGCTCTCTGAGTTAAACTCCATCGTCACAAAGAATTTTCTGAGAGTGCTACCGTCTAGTTTTTATATGAAGTTCTTTCCTTTACTACCACAGGCCTCAAAGCGGTCCAAATCTCCACTTGCAGATTCTACAAAAAGAGTGTTTGCAAACTGCTCTATCAAAAGGAATGTTCAACTCTGGGAGTTGAATGCAATCATCACAGAGCAGTTTCTGAGAATGCTTCTATGTCGTTTTTAGGAGAAGATATTTCCTTTTCCAACACAGTCCTCCAAGCCCGCTAAATATCCACTTGCACATTGTAGAAAAAGTGTGTCAAAGCTGCGCTATCAAAGGGAAAGTTCAACTCTGTGAGGTGAATGCAAACATCCCAAAGAAGTTTCTGAGAATGCTTCCGTTTAGCTTTAAGTGAAGATTATCCCGTTTCCAACGAAATCTTCAAAGAGGTCCAAATATCCCCTTGCGGATCCCACAGAAAGAGTGTTTCGAAACTGCTGTTTCAAAAGGAATCTTCAACTCTGTGAGTTGAATGCAATCATCACAAAGAAGTTTCTGACAATGCTTCTCTCTCGTCTTTCTGTGAAGATAAAGGAAAAGGCTTTCAGGCCATTTCCACCACAGGCCTGAAAGCGCTCCAAATGTCCACTTGCAGATTCTGCCAAAAGAATATTTCAAAACTGCTCTATGAAAAGCAATGTTAAACTCTGCGGCTCGAACACAAACATCACAAAGCAGTTTCTGAGAATGCTTCAGTTTAGTTTTTCTGTGGAAATATTCCCGTTTCCAAAGAAATCTTCAAAGAGGTCCACGCATCCACTTACAGATTCTACAAAAAGACAGTTTAAAAACTGCTCAATCAAAAGGAGGGTTCAACTGTGTGACTTGAATGCATTCATCACTCAGAAGTTTCTGAGAACGCTTCTCTTTAGTTTTTACGTGAACATATACCCGTTTCGAATGAAGGCCAGCCAGTGGTCCAAATATCCACTTGCAGATTCTACAGAAAGAGTGTTTTGAACCTGAACTCTCAAAGGCAGGTTCATCTCTGCGAGTTAAATGCATTCATCATGAAGAACTTTCTCAGCGTGTTTGTGTTTAGTTATGGGAAATTATTCCCGTTTCCAACGAAATCCTCAGAGAGCTCCAAATATCCACCTGCAGATTGTACCAAAAGTGTATTTGGAAACTGCTCCATGAAAAGGCATGTTCAGCTCTGTGAGTGAAACTCCGTCATCACAAAGAATATTCTGAGAATGCTTCCGTTTGCCTTTTATATGAAGTTCCTTCCTATACTACCGTAGGCCTCAAAGCAGTCCAAATCTCCATTTGCAGATTCTACAAAAAGAGTGATTCCAATCTGCTCTATCAATAGGATTGTTCAACTCCATGAGTTGAATGCCATCCTCACAAAGTAGTTTCTGAGAATGCTTCTATGTAGTTTTTAAGTGAAGATATTTCCTTTTCCACCACAGGCCTCAAAGCCCTCCAAACGTCCACTTGCAGATTCCCGAAAAAGAGTGTTTCATAGCTGCTCTTTCAAAAGGAAAGTTCAACTCTGGGAGTTGAATACAAACATCACAAAGTAGTTTCCGAGAATGCTTCTGTTTAGTTCTTATGTGAAGATGATCCCGTTTCCAGTGAAATCTTCAAAGAGGTCCACATATCCCCTTGCAGATTCCAAAGAAAGAGGGTTTCAAAACTGCTCCATCAAAAGGATTGTTCAACTCTGTGAGTTGAATGCAGTCATCGCAGAAAACTTTCTGAGAATGCTTCTTTCTAGGTTTGATGTGAAGATATAGACGTTTCAAACGAAGGCTACAAAGTGGTCAAAATATACACTTGCAGATTCTACTACAAGGGTGTTGCAAACCTGAACTATCAAAGGAAGGTTCAACTCTGTGAGTTGAATACAAACATCACAAAGAATGTTCTGAGTTTGCTTCCGTTCAGTTATGGGAAGTTGATCCCGTTTCCAACGAAATCCTCAGAGAGGTCCCAATATCCCCTTGCAGATTCTACAAAACGTGTGTTTGGAAACTGCTCCATCATAACGAATGTTCAGCTCCCTGAGTTAAACTCCATCGTCACAAAGAATTTTCTGAGAGTGCTACCGTGTGGTTTTTATATGAAGTTCTTTCCTTCACTACCACAGACCTCAAAGCGGTCCAAATCTCCACTTGCAGATTCTACAAAAAGAGTGTTTGCAAACTGCTCTATCAAAAGGAATGTTCAACTCTGGGAGTTGAATGCAATCATCACAGAGCAGTTTCTGAGAATGCTTCCGTTTAGCTTTTAGGTGAAGATTATCCCGTTTCCAACGAAACCTTCAAAGAGGTCCAAATATCCCCTTGCGGATCCCACAGAAAGAGTGTTTCGAAACTGCTGTTTCAAAAGGAATCTTCAACTCTGTGAGTTGAATGCAATCATCACAAAGAAGTTTCTGACAATGCTTCTCTCTCGTCTTTCTGTGAAGATAAAGGAAAAGGCTTTCAGGCCTTTTCCACCACAGGCCTGAAAGCGCTCCAAATGTCCACTTGCAGATTCTGCGAAAAGAATATTTCAAAACTGCTCTGTGAAAAGCAATGTTAAACTCTGTGGCTCGAACACAAACATCACAAAGCGGTTTCTGAGAATGCTTCAGTTTAGTTTTTCTGTGGAAATATTCCCGTTTCCAAAGAAATCTTCAAAGAGGTCCACGTATCCACTTACAGATTCTACAAAAAGACAGTTTCAAAACTGCTCCATCAAAAGGAGGGTTCAACTGTGTGACTTGAATGCAATCATCACTCAGAAGTTTCTGAGAATGCTTCTCTTTAGTTTTTACGTGAACATATACCCGTTTCGAACGAAGGCCACCCAGTGGTCCAAATATCCACTTGCAGATTCTACAGAAAGAGTGTTTCGAACCTGAACTCCCAAAGGCAGGTTCATCTCTGCGAGTTAAATGCATTCATCATGAAGAACTTTCTCAGAGTGTTTGTGTTTAGTTATGGGAAATTATTCCCGTTTCCAAAGAAATCCTCAGAGAGCTCCAAATATCCACCTGCAGATTCTACCAAAAGTGTATTTGGAAACTGCTCCATCAAAAGGCATGTTCAGCTCTGTGAGTGAAACTCCATCATCACAAAGAATATTCTGAGAATGCTTCCGTTTGCCTTTTATATGAAGTTCCTTCCTATACGACCGTAGGCCTCAAAGCAGTCCAAATCTCCATTTGCAGATTCTACAAAAAGAGTGATTCCAATCTGCTCTATCAATAGTATTGTTCAACTCCATGAGGTGAATGCCATCCTCACAAAGTCGTTTCTGAGAATGCTTCTATCTAGTTTTTATGTGAAGATATTTCCTTTTCCACCACAGGCCTCAAAGCCCTCCAAACGTCCACTTGCAGATTCTCGAAAAAGAGTGTTTCATAGCTGCTCTTTCAAAAGGAAAGTTCAACTCTGGGAGTTGAATACAAACATCACAAAGTAGTTTCCGAGAATGCTTCTGTTTAGTTTTTATGTGAAGATGATCCCGTTTCCAGTGAAATCTTCAAAGAGGTCCACATATCCCCTTGCAGATTCCAAAGAAAGAGGGTTTCAAAACTGCTCCATCAGAAGGATTGTTCAACTCTGTGAGTTGAATGCAGTCATCGCAGAAAACTTTCTGAGAATGCTTCTGTCTAGGTTTGATGTGAAGATATAGACGTTTCAAACGAAGGCTACAAAGTGGTCAAAATATACACTTGCAGATTCTACTACAAGGGTGTTGCAAACCTGAACTATCAAAGGAAGGTTCAACTCTGTGAGTTGAATACAAACATCACAAAGAATGTTCTGAGTTTGCTTCCGTTCAGTTATGGGAAGTTGATCCCGTTTCCAACGAAATCCTCAGAGAGGTCCAAATATCCCCTCACAGATTCTACAAAACGTGTGTTTGGAAACTGCTCCATCATAACGAATGTTCAGCTCCCTGAGTTAAACTCCATCGTCACAAAGAATTTTCTGAGAGTGCTACCGTCTGGTTTTTATATGAAGTTCTTTCCTTCACTACCACAGGCCTCAAAGCGGTCCAAATCTCCACTTGCAGATTCTACAAAAAGAGTGTTTGCAAACTGCTCTATCAAAAGGAATGTTCAACTCTGGGAGTTGAATGCAATCATCACAGAGCAGTTTCTGAGAATGCTTCTATGTCGTTTTTAGGAGAAGATATTTCCTTTTCCAACACAGTCCTCCAAGCCCGCTAAATAGCCACTTGCACATTGTAGAAAAAGTGTGTCAAAGCTGCGCTATCAAAGGGAAAGTTCAACTCTGTCAGGTGAATGCAAACATCCCAAAGAAGTTTCTGAGAATGCTTCCGTTTAGCTTTTAGGTGAAGATTATCCCGTTTCCAACGAAACCTTCAAAGAGGTCCAAATATCCCCTTGCGGATCCCACAGAAAGAGTGTTTCGAAACTGCTGTTTCAAAAGGAATCTTCAACTCTGTGAGTTGAATGCAATCATCACAAAGAAGTTTCTGACAATGCTTCTCTCTCGTCTTTCTGTGAAGATAAAGGAAAAGGCTTTCAGGCCTTTTCCACCACAGGCCTGAAAGCGCTCCAAATGTCCACTTGCAGATTCTGCGAAAAGAATATTTCAAAACTGCTCTATGAAAAGCAATGTTAAACTCTGTGGCTCGAACACAAACATCACAAAGCAGTTTCTGAGAATGCTTCAGTTTAGTTTTTCTGTGGAAATATTCCCGTTTCCAAAGAAATCTTCAAAGAGGTCCACGTATCCACTTACAGATTCTACAAAAAGACAGTTTCAAAACTGCTCCATCAAAAGGAGGGTTCAACTGTGTGACTTGAATGCAATCATCACTCAGAAGTTTCTGAGAATGCTTCTCTTTAGTTTTTACGTGAACATATACCCGTTTCGAACGAAGGCCACCCAGTGGTCCAAATATCCACTTGCAGATTCTACAGAAAGAGTGTTTCGAACCTGAACTCTCAAAGGCAGGTTCATCTCTGCGAGTCAAAAGCATTCATCATGAAGAACTTTCTCAGAGTGTTTGTGTTTAGTTATGGGAAATTATTCCCGTTTCCAACGAAATCCTCAGAGAGCTCCAAATATCCACCTGCAGATTCTACCAAAAGTGTATTTGGAAACTGCTCCATCAAAAGGCATGTTCAGCTCTGTGAGTGAAACTCCATCATCACAAAGAATATTCTGAGAATGCTTCCGTTTGCCTTTTATATGAAGTTCCTTCCTGTACTACCGTAGGCCTCAAAGCAGTCCAAATCTCCATTTGCAGATTCTATAAAAAGAGTGATTCCAATCTGCTCTATCAATAGGATTGTTCAACTCCATGAGTTGAATGCCATCCTCACAAAGTAGTTTCTGAGAATGCTTCTATCTGGTTTTTGTGTGAAGATATTTCCTTTTCCACCACAGGCCTCAAAGCCCTCCAAACGTCCACTTGCAGATTCTCGAAAAAGAGTGTTTCATAGCTGCTCTTTCAAAAGGAAAGTTCAACTCTGGGAGTTGAATGCAAACATCACAAAATAGTTTCCGAGAATGCTTTCTGTTTAGTTTTTATGTGAAGATGATCCCGTTTCCAGTGAAATCTTCAAAGAGGTCCACATATCCCCTTGCAGATTCCAAAGAAAGAGGGTTTCAAAACTGCTCCATCAGAAGGATTGTTCAACTCTGTGAGTTGAATGCAGTCATCGCAGAAAACTTTCTGAGAATGCTTCTGTCTAGGTTTGATGTGAAGATATAGACGTTTCAAACGAAGGCTACAAAGTGGTCAAAATATACACTTGCAGATTCTACTACAAGGGTGTTGCAAACCTGAACTATCAAAGGAAGGTTCAACTCTGTGAGTTGAATACAAACATCACAAAGAATGTTCTGAGTTTGCTTCCGTTCAGTTATGGGAAGTTGATCCCGTTTCCAACGAAATCCTCAGAGAGGTCTAAATATCCCCTTGCAGATTCTACAAAACGTGTGTTTGGAAACTGCTCCATCATAACGAATGTTCAGCTCCCTGAGTTAAACTCCATCGTCACAAAGAATTTTCTGAGAGTGCTACCGTCTGGTTTTTATATGAAGTTCTTTCCTTCACTACCACAGGCCTCAAAGCGGTCCAAATCTCCACTTGCAGATTCTACAAAAAGAGTGTTTGCAAACTGCTCTATCAAAAGGAATGTTCAACTCTGGGAGTTGAATGCAATCATCACAGAGCAGTTTCTGAGAATGCTTCTATGTCGTTTTTAGGAGAAGATATTTCCTTTTCCAACACAGTCCTCCAAGCCCGCTAAATAGCCACTTGCACATTGTAGAAAAAGTGTGTCAAAGCTGCGCTATCAAAGGGAAAGTTCAACTCTGTGAGGTGAATGCAAACATCCCAAAGAAGTTTCTGAGAATGCTTCCGTTTAGCTTTTAGGTGAAGATTATCCCGTTTCCAACGAAACCTTCAAAGAGGTCCAAATATCCCCTTGCGGATCCCACAGAAAGAGTGTTTCGAAACTGCTGTTTCAAAAGGAATCTTCAACTCTGTGAGTTGAATGCAATCATCACAAAGAAGTTTCTGACAATGCTTCTCTCTCGTCTTTCTGTGAACATAAAGGAAAAGGCGTTCAGGCCTTTGCCACCACAGGCCTGAAAGCGCTCCAAATGTCCACTTGCAGATTCTGCCAAAAGAATATTTCAAAACTGCTTTGTGAAAAGCAATGTTAAACTCTGTGGCTCGAACACAAACATCACAAAGCGGTTTCTGAGAATGCTTCAGTTTAGTTTTTCTGTGGAAATATTCCCGTTTCCAAAGAAATCTTCAAAGAGGTCCACGTATCCACTTACAGATTCTACAAAAAGACAGTTTCAAAACTGCTCCATCAAAAGGAGGGTTCAACTGTGTGACTTGAATGCAATCATCACTCAGAAGTTTCTGAGAATGCTTCTCTTTAGTTTTTACGTGAACATATACCCGTTTCGAACGAAGGCCAGCCAGTGGTCCAAATATCCACTTGCAGATTCTACAGAAAGAGTGTTTCGAACCTGAACTCTCAAAGGCAGGTTCATCTCTGCGAGTTAAATGCATTCATCATGAAGAACTTTCTCAGAGTGTTTGTGTTTAGTTATGGGAAATTATTCCCGTTTCCAACGAAATCCTCAGAGAGGTCCAAATATCCACCTGCAGATTCTACCAAAAGTGTATTTGGAAACTGCTCCATCAAAAGGCATGTTCAGCTCTGTGAGTGAAACTCCATCATCACAAAGAATATTCTGAGAATGCTTCCGTTTGCCTTTTATATGAAGTTCCTTCCTATACGACCGTAGGCCTCAAAGCAGTCCAAATCTCCATTTGCAGATTCTACAAAAAGAGTGATTCCAATCTGCTCTATCAATAGGATTGTTCAACTCCATGAGTTGAATGCCATCCTCACAAAGTTGTTTCTGAGAATGCTTCTATCTAGTTTTTATGTGAAGATATTTCCTTTTCCACCACAGGCCTCAAAGCCCTCCAAACGTCCACTTGCAGATTCTCGAAAAAGAGTGTTTCATAGCTGCTCTTTCAAAAGGAAAGTTCAACTCTGGGAGTTGAATACAAACATCACAAAGTAGTTTCCGAGAATGCTTCTGTTTAGTTTTTATGTGAAGATGATCCCGTTTCCAGTGAAATCTTCAAAGAGGTCCACATATCCCCTTGCAGATTCCAAAGAAAGAGGGTTTCAAAACTGCTCCATCAGAAGGATTGTTCAACTCTGTGAGTTGAATGCAGTCATCGCAGAAAACTTTCTGAGAATGCTTCTGTCTAGGTTTGATGTGAAGATATAGACGTTTCAAACGAAGGGCTACAAAGTGGTCAAAATATACACTTGCAGATTCTACTACAAGGGTGTTGCAAACCTGAACTATCAATGGAAGGTTCAACTCTGTGAGTTGAATACAAACATCACAAAGAATGTTCTGAGTTTGCTTCCGTTCAGTTATGGGAAGTTGATCCCGTTTCCAACGAAATCCTCAGAGAGGTCCAAATATCCCCTTGCAGATTCTACAAAACGTGTGTTTGGAAACTGCTCCATCATAACGAATGTTCAGCTCCCTGAGTTAAACTCCATCGTCACAAAGAATTTTCTGAGAGTGCTACCGTCTGGTTTTTATATGAAGTTCTTTCCTTCACTACCACAGGCCTCAAAGCGGTCCAAATCTCCACTTGCAGATTCTACAAAAAGAGTGTTTGCAAACTGCTCTATCAAAAGGAATGTTCAACTCTGGGAGTTGAATGCAATCATCACAGAGCAGTTTCTGAGAATGCTTCTATGTCGTTTTTAGGAGAAGATATTTCCTTTTCCAACACAGTCCTCCAAGCCCGCTAAATAGCCACTTGCACATTGTAGAAAAAGTGTGTCAAAGCTGCGCTATCAAAGGGAAAGTTCAACTCTGTGAGGTGAATGCAAACATCCCAAAGAAATTTCTGAGAATGCTTCCGTTTAGCTTTTAGGTGAAGATTATCCCGTTTCCAACGAAACCTTCAAAGAGGTCCAAATATCCCCTTGCGGATCCCACAGAAAGAGTGTTTCGAAACTGCTGTTTCAAAAGGAATCTTCAACTCTGTGAGTTGAATGCAATCATCACAAAGAAGTTTCTGACAATGCTTCTCTCTCGTCTTTCTGTGAAGATAAAGGAAAAGGCTTTCAGGCCTTTTCCACCACAGGCCTGAAAGCGCTCCAAATGTCCACTTGCAGATTCTGCCAAAAGAATATTTCAAAACTGCTCTATGAAAAGCAATGTTAAACTCTGTGGCTCGAACACAAACATCACAAAGCCGTTTCTGAGAATGCTTCAGTTTAGTTTTTCTGTGGAAATATTCCCGTTTCCAAAGAAATCTTCAAAGAGGTCCACGTATCCACTTACAGATTCTACAAAAAGACAGTTTCAAAACTGCTCAATCAAAAGGAGGGTTCAACCGTGTGACTTGAATGCAATCATCACTCAGAAGTTTCTGAGAATGCTTCTCTTTAGTTTTTACGTGAACATATACCCGTTTCCAACGAAGGCCAGCCAGTGGTCCAAATATCCACTTGCAGATTCTACAGAAAGAGTGTTTCGAACCTGAACTCTCAAAGGCAGGTTCATCTCTGCGAGTTCAATGCATTCATCATGAAGAACTTTGCTCAGAGTGTTTGTGTTTAGGTATGGGAAATTATTCCCGTTTCCAACGAAATTCCTCAGAGAGGTCCAAATATCCACCTGCAGATTCTACCAAAAGTGTATTTGGCAACTGCTTCATCAAAAGGCATGTTCAGCTCTGTGAGTGAAACTCCATCATCACAAAGAATATTCTGAGAATGCTTCCTTTTGCCTTTTATATGAAGTTCCTTCTTATACTACCGTAGGCCTCAAAGCAGTCCAAATCTCCATTTGCAGATTCTACAAAAAGAGTGATTCCAATCTGCTCTATCAATAGGATTGTTCAACTCCATGAGTTGAATGCCATCCTCACAAAGTCGTTTCTGAGAATGCTTCTATCTAGTTTTTATGTGAAGATATTTCCTTTTCCACCACAGGCCTCAAAGCCCTCCAAACGTCCACTTGCAGATTCTCGAAAAAGAGTGTTTCATAGCTGCTCTTTCAAAAGGAAAGTTCAACTCTGGGAGTTGAATACAAACATCACAAAGTAGTTTCCGAGAATGCTTCTGTTTAGTTTTTATGTGAAGATGATCCCGTTTCCAGTGAAATCTTCAAAGAGGTCCACATATCCCCTTGCAGATTCCAAAGAAAGAGGGTTTCAAAACTGCTCCATCAAAAGGATTGTTCAACTCTGTGAGTTGAATGCAGTCATCGCAGAAAACTTTCTGAGAATGCTTCTGTCTAGGTTTGATGTGAAGATATAGACGTTTCAAACGAAGGCTACAAAGTGGTCAAAATATACACTTGCAGATTCTACTACAAGGGTGTTGCAAACCTGAACTATCAAAGGAAGGTTCAACTCTGTGAGTTGAATACAAACATCACAAAGAATGTTCTGAGTTTGCTTCCGTTCAGTTATGGGAAGTTGATCCCGTTTCCAGCGAAATCCTCAGAGAGGTCCAAATATCCCCTTGCAGTTTCTACAAAACGTGTGTTTGGAAACTGCTCCATCATAACGAATGTTCAGCTCCCTGAGTTAAACTCCATCGTCACAAAGAATTTTCTGAGAGTGCTACCGTCTGGTTTTTATATGAAGTTCTTTCCTTTACTACCATAGGCCTCAAAGCGGTCCAAATCTCCACTTGCAGATTCTACAAAAAGAGTGTTTGCAAACTGCTCTATCAAAAGGAATGTTCAACCCTGGGAGTTGAATGCAATCATCACAGAGCAGTTTCTGAGAATGCTTCTATGTCGTTTTTAGGAGAAGATATTTCCTTTTCCAACACAGTCCTCCAAGCCCGCTAAATAGCCACTTGCACATTGTAGAAAAAGTGTGTCAAAGCTGCGCTATCAAAGGGAAAGTTCAACTCTGTGAGGTGAATGCAAACATCCCAAAGAAGTTTCTGAGAGTGCTTCCGTTTAGCTTTTAGGTGAAGATTATCCCGCTTCCAACGAAACCTTCAAAGAGGTCCAAATATCCCCTTGCGGATCCCTCAGAAAGAGTGTTTCGAAACTGCTGTTTCAAAAGGAATCTTCAACTCTGTGAGTTGAATGCAATCATCACAAAGAAGTTTCTGACAATGCTTCTCTCTCGTCTTTCTGTGAAGATAAAGGAAAAGGCTTTCAGGCCTTTTCCACCACAGGCCTGAAAGCGCTCCAAATGTCCACTTGCAGATTCTGCGAAAAGAATATTTCAAAACTGCTCTATGAAAAGCAATGTTAAACTCTGTGGCTCGAACACAAACATCACAAAGCGGTTTCTGAGAATGCTTCAGTTTAGTTTTTCTGTGGAAATATTCCCGTTTCCAAAGAAATCTTCAAAGAGGTCCACGCATCCACTTACAGATTCTACAAAAAGACAGTTTCAAAACTGCTCAATCAAAAGGAGGGTTCAACTGTGTGACTAGAATGCAATCATCACTCAGAAGTTTCTGAGAACGCTTCTCTTTAGTTTTTACGTGAACATATACCCGTTTCGAACGAAGGCCAGCCAGTGGTCCAAATATCCACTTGCAGATTCTACAGAAAGAGTGTTTCGAACCTGAACTCTCAAAGGCAGGTTCATCTCTGCGAGTTAAATGCATTCATCATGAAGAACTTTCTCAGCGTGTTTGTGTTTAGTTATGGGAAATTATTCCCGTTTCCAACGAAATCCTCAGAGAGCTCCAAATATCCACCTGCAGATTCTACCAAAAGTGTATTTGGAAACTGCTCCATCAAAAGGCATGTTCAGCCCTGTGAGTGAAACTCCATCATCACAAAGAATATTCTGAGAATGCTTCCGTTTGCCTTTTATATGAAGTTCCTTCCTATACTACCGTAGGCCTCAAAGCAGTGCAAATCTCCATTTGCAGATTCTACAAAAAGAGTGATTCCAATCTGCTCTATCAATAGGACTGTTCAACTCCATGAGTTGAATGCCGTCCTCACAAAGTAGTTTCTGAGAATGCTTCTATCTAGTTTTTATGTGAAGATATTTCCTTTTCCACCACAGGCCTCAAAGCCCTCCAAACGTCCACTTGCAGATTCTCGAAAAAGAGTGTTTCATAGCTGCTCTTTCAAAAGGAAAGTTCAACTCTGGGAGGTGAATACAAACATCACAAAGTAGTTTCCGAGAATGCTTCTGTTTAGTTCTTATGTGAAGATGATCCCGTTTCCAGTGAAATCTTCAAAGAGGTCCACATATCCCCTTGCAGATTCCAAAGAAAGAGGGTTTCAAAACTGCTCCATCAAAAGGATTGTTCAACTCTGTGAGTTGAATGCAGTCATCGCAGAAAACTTTCTGAGAATGCTTCTTTCTAGGTTTGATGTGAAGATATAGACGTTTCAAACGAAGGCTACAAAGTGGTCAAAATATACACTTGCAGATTCTACTACAAGGGTGTTGCAAACCTGAACTATCAAAGGAAGGTTCAACTCTGTGAGTTGAATACAAACATCACAAAGAATGTTCTGAGTTTGCTTCCGTTCAGTTATGGGAAGTTGATCCCGTTTCCAACGAAATCCTCAGAGAGGTCCAAATATCCCCTTGCAGATTCTACAAAACGTGTGTTTGGAAACTGCTCCATCATAACGAATGTTCAGCTCTCTGAGTTAAACTCCATCGTCACAAAGAATTTTCTGAGAGTGCTACCGTCTGGTTTTTATATGAAGTTCTTTCCTTTACTACCACAGGCCTCAAAGCGGTCCAAATCTCCACTTGCAGATTCTACAAAAAGAGTGTTTGCAAACTGCTCTATCAAAAGGAATGTTCAACTCTGGGAGTTGAATGCAATCATCACAGAGCAGTTTCTGAGAATGCTTCTATGTCGTTTTTAGGAGAAGATATTTCCTTTTCCAACACAGTCCTCCAAGCCCGCTAAATATCCACTTGCACATTGTAGAAAAAGTGTGTCGAAGCTGCGCTATCAAAGGGAAAGTTCAACTCTGTGAGGTGAATGCTAACATCCCAAAGAAGTTTCTGAGAATGCTTCCGTTTAGCTTTTAGGTGAAGATTATCCCGTTTCCAACGAAATCTTCAAAGAGGTCCAAATATCCCCTTGCGGATCCCACAGAAAGAGTGTTTCGAAACTGCTGTTTCAAAAGGAATCTTCAACTCTGTGGGTTGAATGCAATCATCACAAAGAAGTTTCTGACAATGCTTCTCTCTCGTCTTTCTGTGAAGATAAAGGAAAAGGCTTTCAGGCCTTTTCCACCACAGGCCTGAAAGCGCTCCAAATGTCCACTTGCAGATTCTGCCAAAAGAATATTTCAAAACTGCTCTATGAAAAGCAATGTTAAACTCTGTGGCTCGAACACAAACATCACAAAGCAGTTTCTGAGAATGCTTCAGTTTAGTTTTTCTGTGGAAATATTCCCGTTTCAAAAGAAATCTTCAAAGAGGTCCACGCATCCACTTACAGATTCTACAAAAAGACAGTTTCAAAACTGCTCAATCAAAAGGAGGGTTCAACCGTGTGACTTGAATGCAATCATCACTCAGAAGTTTCTGAGAACGCTTCTCTTTAGTTTTTACGTGAACATATACCCGTTTCGAACGAAGGCCACACAGTGGTCCAAATATCCACTTGCAGATTCTACAGAAAGAGTGTTTCGAACCTGAACTCTCAAAGGCAGGTTCATCTCTGCGAGTTCAATGCATTCATCATGAAGAACTTTCTCAGAGTGTTTGTGTTTAGGTATAGGAAATTATTCCCGTTTCCAACGAAATCCTCAGAGAGGTCCAAATATCCACCTGCAGATTCTACCAAAAGTGTATTTGGAAACTGCTCCATCAAAAGGCATGTTCAGCTCTGTGAGTGAAACTCCATCATCACAAAGAATATTCTGAGAATGCTTCCGTTTGCCTTTTATATGAAGTTCCTTCCTATACTACCGTAGGCCTCAAAGCAGTCCAAATCTCCATTTGCAGATTCTACAAAAAGAGTGATTCCAATCTGCTCTATCAATAGGATTGTTCAACTCCATGAGTTGAATGCCATCCTCACAAAGTCGTTTCTGAGAATGCTTCTATCTAGTTTTTATGTGAAGATATTTCCTTTTCCACCACAGGCCTCAAAGCCCTCCAAACGTCCACTTGCAGATTCTCGAAAAAGAGTGTTTCATAGCTGCTCTTTCAAAAGGAAAGTTCAACTCTGGGAGTTGAATACAAACATCACAAAGTAGTTTCCGAGAATGCTTCTGTTTAGTTCTTATGTGAAGATGATCCCGTTTCCAGTGAAATCTTCAAAGAGGTCCACATATCCCCTTGCAGATTCCAAAGAAAGAGGGTTTCAAAACTGCTCCATCAAAAGGATTGTTCAACTCTGTGAGTTGAATGCAGTCATCGCAGAAAACTTTCTGAGAATGCTTCTGTCTAGGTTTGATGTGAAGATATAGACGTTTCAAACGAAGGCTACAAAGTGGTCAAAATATACACTTGCAGAATGTACTACAAGGGTGTTGCAAACCTGAACTATCAAAGGAAGGTTCAACTCTGTGGGTTGAATACAAACATCGCAGAGAATGTTCTGAGTTTGCTTCCGTTCAGTTATGGGAAGTTGATCCCGTTTCCAACGAAATCCTCAGAGAGGTCCAAATATCCCCTTGCAGATTCTACAAAACGTGTGTTTGGAAACTGCTCCATCATAACGAATGTTCAGCTCCCTGAGTTAAACTCCATCGTCACAAAGAATTTTCTGAGAGTGCTACCGTCTGGTTTTTATATGAAGTTCTTTCCTTCACTACCACAGGCCTCAAAGCGGTCCAAATCTCCACTTGCAGATTCTACAAAAAGAGTGTGTGCAAACTGCTCTATCAAAAGGAATGTTCAACTCTGGGAGTTGAATGCAATCATCACAGAGCAGTTTCTGAGAATGCTTCTATGTCGTTTTTAGGAGAAGATATTTCCTTTTCCAACACAGTCCTCCAAGCCCGCTAAATAGCCACTTGCACATTGTAGAAAAAGTGTGTCAAAGCTGCGCTATCAAAGGGAAAGTTCAACTCTGTGAGGTGAATGCAAACATCCCAAAGAAGTTTCTGAGAATGCTTCCGTTTAGCTTTTAGGTGAAGATTATCCCGTTTCCAACGAAACCTTCAAAGAGGTCCAAATATCCCCTTGCGGATCCCACAGAAAGAGTGTTTCGAAACTGCTGTTTCAAAAGGAATCTTCAACTCTGTGAGTTGAATGCAATCATCACAAAGAAGTTTCTGACAATGCTTCTCTCTCGTCTTTCTGTGAAGATAAAGGAAAAGGCTTTCAGGCCTTTTCCACCACAGGCCTGAAAGCGCTCCAAATGTCCACTTGCAGATTCTGCGAAAAGAATATTTCAAAACTGCTCTATGAAAAGCAATGTTAAACTCTGTGGCTCGAACACAAACATCACAAAGCGGTTTCTGAGAATGCTTCAGTTTAGTTTTTCTGTGGAAATATTCCCGTTTCCAAAGAAATCTTCAAAGAGGTCCACGTATCCACTTACAGATTCTACAAAAAGACAGTTTCAAAACTGCTCCATCAAAAGGAGGGTTCAACTGTGTGACTTGAATGCAATCATCACTCAGAAGTTTCTGAGAATGCTTCTCTTTAGTTTTTACGTGAACATATACCCGTTTCGAACGAAGGCCAGCCAGTGGTCCAAATATCCACTTGCAGATTCTACAGAAAGAGTGTTTCGAACATTAACTCTCAAAGGCAGGTTCATCTCTGCGAGTTAAATGCATTCATCATGAAGAACTTTCTCAGAGTGTTTGTGTTTAGTTATGGGAAATTATTCCCGTTTCCAACGAAATCCTCGGAGAGCTCCAAATATCCACCTGCAGATTCTACCAAAAGTGTATTTGGAAACTGCTCCATCAAAAGGCATGTTCAGCTCTGTGAGTGAAACTCCATCATCACAAAGAATATTCTGAGAATGCTTCCGTTTGCCTTTTATATGAAGTTCCTTCCTATACTACCGTAGGCCTCAAAGCAGTCCAAATCTCCATTTGCAGATTCTACAAAAAGAGTGATTCCAATCTGCTCTATCAATAGGATTGTTCAACTCCATGAGTTGAATGCCATCCTCACAAAGTAGTTTCTGAGAATGCTTCTATCTAGTTTTTATGTGAAGATATTTCCTTTTCCACCACAGGCCTCAAAGCCCTCCAAACGTCCACTTGCAGATTCTCGAAAAAGAGTGTTTCATAGCTGCTCTTTCAAAAGGAAAGTTCAACTCTGGGAGTTGAATACAAACATCACAAAGTAGTTTCCGAGAATGCTTCTGTTTAGTTTTTATGTGAAGATGATCCCGTTTCCAGTGAAATCTTCAAAGAGGTCCACATATCCCCTTGCAGATTCCAAAGAAAGAGGGTTTCAAAACTGCTCCATCAGAAGGATTGTTCAACTCTGTGAGTTGAATGCAGTCATCGCAGAAAACTTTCTGAGAATGCTTCTGTCTAGGTTTGATGTGAAGATATAGACGTTTCAAACGAAGGCTACAAAGTGGTCAAAATATACACTTGCAGATTCTACTACAAGGGTGTTGCAAACCTGAACTATCAAAGGAAGGTTCAACTCTGTGAGTTGAATACAAACATCACAAAGAATGTTCTGAGTTTGCTTCCGTTCAGTTATGGGAAGTTGATCCCGTTTCCAACGAAATCCTCAGAGAGGTCCAAATATCCCCTTGCAGATTCTACAAAACGTGTGTTTGGAAACTGCTCCATCATAACGAATGTTCAGCTCCCTGAGTTAAACTCCATCGTCACAAAGAATTTTCTGAGAGTGCTACCGTCTGGTTTTTATATGAAGCTCTTTCCTTCACTACCCCAGGCCTCAAAGCGGTCCAAATCTCCACTTGCAGATTCTACAAAAAGAGTGTTTGCAAACTGCTCTATCAAAAGGAATGTTCAACTCTGGGAGTTGAATGCAATCATCACAGAGCAGTTTCTGAGAATGCTTCTATGTCGTTTTTAGGAGAAGATATTTCCTTTTCCAACACAGTCCTCCAAGCCCGCTAAATAGCCACTTGCACATTGTAGAAAAAGTGTGTCAAAGCTGCGCTATCAAAGGGAAAGTTCAACTCTGTGAGGTGAATGCAAACATCCCAAAGAAGTTTCTGAGAATGCTCCGTTTAGCTTTTAGGTGAAGATTATCCCGTTTCCAACGAAACCTTCAAAGAGGTCCAAATATCCCCTTGCGGATCCCACAGAAAGAGTGTTTCGAAACTGCTGTTTCAAAAGGAATCTTCAACTCTGTGAGTTGAATGCAATCATCACAAAGAAGTTTCTGGCAATGCTTCTCTCTCGTCTTTCTGTGAAGATAAAGGAAAAGGCTTTCAGGCCTTTTCCACCACAGGCCTGAAAGCGCTCCAAATGTCCACTTGCAGATTCTGCTAAAAGAATATTTCAAAACTGCTCTATGAAAAGCAATGTTAAACTCTGTGGCTCGAACACAAACATCACAAAGCAGTTTCTGAGAATGCTTCAGTTTAGTTTTTCTGTGGAAATATTCCCGTTTCCAAAGAAATCTTCAAAGAGGTCCACGTATCCACTTACAGATTCTACAAAAAGACAGTTTCAAAACTGCTCCATCAAAAGGAGGGTTCAACTGTGTGACTTGAATGCAATCATCACTCAGAAGTTTCTGAGAATGCTTCTCTTTAGTTTTTACGTGAACATATACCCGTTTCGAACGAAGGCCACCCAGTGGTCCAAATATCCACTTGCAGATTCTACAGAAAGAGTGTTTCGAACCTGAACTCTCAAAGGCAGGTTCATCTCTGCGAGTTAAATGCATTCATCATGAAGAACTTTCTCAGAGTGTTTGTGTTTAGTTATGGGAAATTATTCCCGTTTCCAACGAAATCCTCAGAGAGCTCCAAATATCCACCTGCAGATTCTACCAAAAGTGTATTTGGAAACTGCTCCATCAAAAGGCATGTTCAGCTCTGTCAGTGAAACTCCATCATCACAAAGAATATTCTGAGAATGCTTCCGTTTGCCTTTTATATGAAGTTCCTTCCTGTACTACCGTAGGCCTCAAAGCAGTCCAAATCTCCATTTGCAGATTCTACAAAAAGAGTGATTCCAATCTGCTCTATCAATAGGATTGTTCAACTCCATGAGTTGAATGCCATCCTCACAAAGTCGTTTCTGAGAATGCTTCTATCTGGTTTTTGTGTGAAGATATTTCCTTTTCCACCACAGGCCTCAAAGCCCTCCAAACGTCCACTTGCAGATTCTCGAAAAAGAGTGTTTCATAGCTGCTCTTTCAAAAGGAAAGTTCAACTCTGGGAGTTGAATACAAACATCACAAAATAGTTTCCGAGAATGCTTCTGTTTAGTTTTTATGTGAAGATGATCCCGTTTCCAGTGAAATCTTCAAAGAGGTCCACATATCCCCTTGCAGATTCCAAAGAAAGAGGGTTTCAAAACTGCTCCATCAAAAGGATTGTTCAACTCTGTGAGTTGAATGCAGTCATCGCAGAAAACTTTCTGAGAATGCTTCTGTCTAGGTTTGATGTGAAGATATAGACGTTTCAAACGAAGGCTACAAAGTGGTCAAAATATACACTTGCAGATTCTACTACAAGGGTTTTGCAAACCTGAACTATCAAAGGAAGGTTCAACTCTGTGAGTTGAATACAAACATAACAAAGAATGTTCTGAGTTTGCTTCCGTTCAGTTATGGGAAGTTGATCCCGTTTCCAACGAAATCCTCAGAGAGGTCCAAATATCCCCTCGCAGATTCTACAAAACGTGTGTTTGGAAACTGCTCCATCATAACGAATGTTCAGCTCCCTGAGTTAAACTCCATCGTCACAAAGAATTTTCTGAGAGTGCTACCGTCTGGTTTTTATATGAAGTTCTTTCCTTCACTACCACAGGCCTCAAAGCGGTCCAAATCTCCACTTGCAGATTCTACAAAAAGAGTGTTTGCAAACTGCTCTATCAAAAGGAATGTTCAACTCTGGGAGTTGAATGCAATCATCACAGAGCAGTTTCTGAGAATGCTTCTATGTCGTTTTTAGGAGAAGATATTTCCTTTTCCAACACAGTCCTCCAAGCCCGCTAAATAGCCACTTGCACATTGTAGAAAAAGTGTGTCAAAGCTGCGCTATCAAAGGGAAAGTTCAACTCTGTGAGGTGAATGCAAACATCCCAAAGAAGTTTCTGAGAATGCTTCCGTTTAGCTTTTAGGTGAAGATTATCCCGTTTCCAACGAAACCTTCAAAGAGGTCCAAATATCCCCTTGCGGATCCCACAGAAAGAGTGTTTCGAAACTGCTGTTTCAAAAGGAATCTTCAACTCTGTGAGTTGAATGCAATCATCACAAAGAAGTTTCTGACAATGCTTCTCTCTCGTCTTTCTGTGAAGATAAAGGAAAAGGCTTTCAGGCCTTTTCCACCACAGGCCTGAAAGCGCTCCAAATGTCCACTTGCAGATTCTGCGAAAAGAATATTTCAAAACTGCTCTATGAAAAGCAATGTTAAACTCTGTGGCTCGAACACAAACATCACAAAGCGGTTTCTGAGAATGCTTCAGTTTAGTTTTTCTGTGGAAATATTCCCGTTTCCAAAGAAATCTTCAAAGAGGTCCACGTATCCACTTACAGATTCTACAAAAAGACAGTTTCAAAACTGCTCCATCAAAAGGAGGGTTCAACCGTGTGACTTGAATGCAATCATCACTCAGAAGTTTCTGAGAATGCTTCTCTTTAGTTTTTACGTGAACATATACCCGTTTCGAACGAAGGCCACCCAGTGGTCCAAATATCCACTTGCAGATTCTACAGAAAGAGTGTTTCGAACCTGAACTCTCAAAGGCAGGTTCATCTCTGCGAGTTAAATGCATTCATCATGAAGAACTTTCTCAGAGTGTTTGTGTTTAGTTATGGGAAATTATTCCCGTTTCCAACGAAATCCTCAGAGAGCTCCAAATATCCACCTGCAGATTCTACCAAAAGTGTATTTGGAAACTGCTCCATCAAAAGGCATGTTCAGCTCTGTGAGTGAAACTCCATCATCACAAAGAATATTCTGAGAATGCTTCCGTTTGCCTTTTATCTGAAGTTCCTTCCTATACGACCGTAGGCCTCAAAGCAGTCCAAATCTCCATTTGCAGATTTTACAAAAAGAGTGATTCCAATCTGCTCTATCAATAGGATTGTTCAACTCCATGAGTTGAATGCCATCCTCACAAAGTCGTTTCTGAGAATGCTTCTATCTAGTTTTTATGTGAAGATATTTCCTTTTCCACCACAGGCCTCAAAGCCTTCCAAACGTCCACTTGCAGATTCTCGAAAAAGAGTGTTTCATAGCTGCTCTTTCAAAAGGAAAGTTCAACTCTGGGAGTTGAATACAAACATCACAAAGTAGTTTCCGAGAATGCTTCTGTTTAGTTTTTATGTGAAGATGATCCCGTTTCCAGTGAAATCTTCAAAGAGGTCCACATATCCCCTTGCAGATTCCAAAGAAAGAGGGTTTCAAAACTGCTCCATCAGAAGGATTGTTCAACTCTGTGAGTTGAATGCAGTCATCGCAGAAAACTTTCTGAGAATGCTTCTTTCTAGGTTTGATGTGAAGATATAGACGTTTCAAACGAAGGCTACAAAGTGGTCAAAATATACACTTGCAGATTCTACTACAAGGGTGTTGCAAACCTGAACTATCAAAGGAAGGTTCAACTCTGTGAGTTGAATACAAACATCACAAAGAATGTTCTGAGTTTGCTTCCGTTCAGTTATGGGAAGTTGATCCCGTTTCCAACGAAATCCTCAGAGAGGTCCAAATATCCCCTTGCAGATTCTACAAAACGTGTGTTTGGAAACTGCTCCATCATAACGAATGTTCAGCTCCCTGAGTTAAACTCCATCGTCACAAAGAATTTTCTGAGAGTGCTACCGTATGGTTTTTATATGAAGTTCTTTCCTTCACTACCACAGGCCTCAAAGCGGTCCAAGTCTCCACTTGCAGATTCTACAAAAAGAGTGTTTGCAAACTGCTCTATCAAAAGGAATGTTCAACTCTGGGAGTTGAATGCAATCATCACAGAGCAGTTTCTGAGAATGCTTCTATGTCGTTTTTAGGAGAAGATATTTCCTTTTCCAACACAATCCTCCAAGCCCGCTAAATAGCCACTTGCACATTGTAGAAAAAGTGTGTCAAAGCTGCGCTATCAAAGGGAAAGTTCAACTCTGTGAGGTGAATGCAAACATCCCAAAGAAGTTTCTGAGAATGCTTCCGTTTAGCTTTTAGGTGAAGATTATCCCGTTTCCAACGAAACCTTCAAAGAGGTCCAAATATCCCCTTGCGGATCCCACAGAAAGAGTGTTTCGAAACTGCTGTTTCAAAAGGAATCTTCAACTCTGTGAGTTGAATGCAATCATCACAAAGAAGTTTCTGACAATGCTTCTCTCTCGTCTTTCTGTGAAAATAAAGGAAAAGGCTTTCAGGCCTTTTCCACCACAGGCCTGAAAGCGCTCCAAATGTCCACTTGCAGATTCTGCCAAAAGAATATTTCAAAACTGCTCTATGAAAAGCAATGTTAAACTCTGTGGCTCGAACACAAACATCACAAAGCAGTTTCTGAGAATGCTTCAGTTTAGTTTTTCTGTGGAAATATTCCCGTTTCCAAAGAAATCTTCAAAGAGGTCCACGTATCCACTTACAGATTCTACAAAAAGACAGTTTCAAAACTGCTCCATCAAAAGGAGGGTTCAACTGTGTGACTTGAATGCAATCATCACTCAGAAGTTTCTGAGAATGCTTCTCTTTAGTTTTTACGTGAACATATACCCGTTTCGAACGAAGGCCACCCAGTGGTCCAAATATCCACTTGCAGATTATACAGAAAGAGTGTTTCGAACCTGAACTCTCAAAGGCAGGTTCATCTCTGCGAGTTAAATGCATTCATCATGAAGAACTTTCTCAGAGTGTTTGTGCTTAGTTATGGGAAATTATTCCCGTTTCCAACGAAATCCTCAGAGTGGTCCAAATATCCACCTGCAGATTCTACCAAAAGTGTATTTGGAAACTGCTCCATCAAAAGGCATGTTCAGCTCTGTGAGTGAAACTCCATCATCACAAAGAATATTCTGAGAATGCTTCCGTTTGCCTTTTATCTGAAGTTCCTTCCTATACGACCGTAGGCCTCAAAGCAGTCCAAATCTCCATTTGCAGATTCTACAAAAAGAGTGATTCCAATCTGCTCTATCAATAGGATTGTTCAACTCCATGAGTTGAATGCCATCCTCACAAAGTAGTTTCTGAGAATGCTTCTATCTGGTTTTTGTGTGAAGATATTTCCTTTTCCACCACAGGCCTCAAAGCCCTCCAAACGTCCACTTGCAGATTCTCGAAAAAGAGTGTTTCATAGCTGCTCTTTCAAAAGGAAAGTTCAACTCTGGGAGTTGAATACAAACATCACAAAATAGTTTCCGAGAATGCTTCTGTTTAGTTTTTATGTGAAGATGATCCCGTTTCCAGTGAAATCTTCAAAGAGGTCCACATATCCCCTTGCAGATTCCAAAGAAAGAGGGTTTCAAAACTGCTCCATCAGAAGGATTGTTCAACTCTGTGAGTTGAATGCAGTCATCGCAGAAAACTTTCTGAGAATGCTTCTTTCTAGGTTTGATGTGAAGATATAGACGTTTCAAACGAAGGCTACAAAGTGGTCAAAATATACACTTGCAGATTCTACTACAAGGGTGTTGCAAACCTGAACTATCAAAGGAAGGTTCAACTCTGTGAGTTGAATACAAACATCACAAAGAATGTTCTGAGTTTGCTTCCGTTCAGTTATGGGAAGTTGATCCCGTTTCCAGCGAAATCCTCAGAGAGGTCCAAATATCCCCTTGCAGATTCTACAAAACGTGTGTTTGGAAACTGCTCCATCATAACGAATGTTCAGCTCCCTGAGTTAAACTCCATCGTCACAAAGAATTTTCTGAGAGTGCTACCGTCTGGTTTTTATATGAAGTTCTTTCCTTTACTACCATAGGCCTCAAAGCGGTCCAAATCTCCACTTGCAGATTCTACAAAAAGAGTGTTTGCAAACTGCTCTATCAAAAGGAATGTTCAACCCTGGGAGTTGAATGCAATCATCACAGAGCAGTTTCTGAGAATGCTTCTATGTCGTTTTTAGGAGAAGATATTTCCTTTTCCAACACAGTCCTCCACGCCCGCTAAATATCCACTTGCACATTGTAGAAAAAGTGTGTCAAAGCTGCGCTATCAAAGGGAAAGTTCAACTCTGTGAGGTGAATGCAAACATCCCAAAGAAGTTTCTGAGAGTGCTTCCGTTTAGCTTTTAGGTGAAGATTATCCCGTTTCCAACGAAAGCTTCAAAGAGGTCCAAATATCCCCTTGCGGATCCCACAGAAAGAGTGTTTCGAAACTGCTGTTTCAAAAGGAATCTTCAACTCTGTGAGTTGAATGCAATCATCACAAAGAAGTTTCTGACAATGCTTCTCTCTCGTCTTTCTGTGAAGATAAAGGAAAAGGCTTTCAGGCCTTTTCAACCACAGGCCTGAAAGCGCTCCAAATGTCCACTTGCAGATTCTGCCAAAAGAATATTTCAAAACTGCTCTATGAAAAGCAATGTTAAACTCTGTGGCTCGAACACAAACATCACAAAGCAGTTTCTGAGAATGCTTCAGTTTAGTTTTTCTGTGGAAATATTCCCGTTTCCAAAGAAATATTCAAAGAGGTCCACGTATCCACTTACAGATTTTACAAAAAGACAGTTTCAAAACTGCTCAATCAAAAGGAGGGTTCAACTGTGTGACTTGAATGTAATCATCACTCAGAAGTTTCTGAGAATGCTTCTCTTTAGTTTTTACGTGAACATATACCCGTTTCGAACGAAGGCCAGCCAGTGGTCCAAATATCCACTTGCAGATTCTACAGAAAGAGTGTTTCGAACCTGAACTCTCAAAGGCAGGTTCATCTCTGCGAGTTAAATGCATTCATCATGAAGAACTTTCTCAGAGTGTTTGTGTTTAGTTATGGGAAATTATTCCCTTTTCCAACGAAATCCTCAGAGAGCTCCAAATATCCACCTGCAGATTCTACCAAAAGTGTATTTGGAAACTGCTCCATCAAAAGGCATGTTCAGCTCTGTGAGTGAAACTCCATCATCACAAAGAATATTCTGAGAATGCTTCCGTTTGCCTTTTATATGAAGTTCCTTCCTATACTACCGTAGGCCTCAAAGCAGTCCAAATCTCCATTTGCAGATTCTACAAAAAGAGTGATTCCAATCTGCTCTATCAATAGGATTGTTCAACTCCATGAGTTGAATGCCATCCTCACAAAGTAGTTTCTGAGAATGCTTCTATCTAGTTTTTATGTGAAGATATTTCCTTTTCCACCACAGGCCTCAAAGCCCTCCAAACGTCCACTTGCAGATTCTCGAAAAAGAGTGTTTCATAGCTGCTCTTTCAAAAGGAAATTTCAACTCTGGGAGTTGAATACAAACATCACAAAGAATGTTCTGAGTTTGCTTCCGTTCAGTTATGGGAAGTTGATCCCGTTTCCAATGAAATCCTCAGAGAGGTCCAAATATCCCCTTGCAGATTCTACAAAACGTGTGTTCGGAAACTGCTCCATCATAACGAATGTTCAGCTCCCTGAGTTAAACTCCATCGTCACAAAGAATTTTCTGAGAGTGCTACCGTCTGGTTTTTATATGAAGTTCTTTCCTTCACTACCACAGGCCTCAAAGCGGTCCAAATCTCCACTTGCAGATTCTACAAAAAGAGTGTTTGCAAACTGCTCTATCAAAAGGAATGTTCAACTCTGGGAGTTGAATGCAATCATCACAGAGCAGTTTCTGAGAATGCTTCTATGTCGTTTTTAGGAGAAGATATTTCCTTTTCCAACACAGTCCCCCAAGCCCGCTAAATAGCCACTTGCACATTGTAGAAAAAGTGTGTCAAAGCTGCGCTATCAAAGGGAAAGTTCAACTCTGTGAGGTGAATGCAAACATCCCAAAGAAGTTTCTGAGAATGCTTCCGTTTAGCTTTTAGGTGAAGATTATCCCGTTTCCAACGAAACCTTCAAAGAGGTCCAAATATCCCCTTGCGGATCCCACAGAAAGAGTGTTTCGAAACTGCTGTTTCAAAAGGAATCTTCAACTCTGTGAGTTGAATGCAATCATCACAAAGAAGTTTCTGACAATGCTTCTCTCTCGTCTTTCTGTGAAGATAAAGGAAAAGGCTTTCAGGCCTTTGCCACCACAGGCCTGAAAGCGCTCCAAATGTCCACTTGCAGATTCTGCGAAAAGAATATTTCAAAAC
This sequence comes from Homo sapiens, assembly GCF_000001405.40. NCBI lineage: Eukaryota > Metazoa > Chordata > Mammalia > Primates > Hominidae > Homo > Homo sapiens. The sequence continues at coordinate 59,769,424 of NC_000023.11, read as the reverse complement.
TGCTCTATGAAAAGCAATGTTAAACTCTGTGGCTCGAACACAAACATCACAAAGCGGTTTCTGAGAATGCTTCAGTTTAGTTTTTCTGTGGAAATATTCCCGTTTCCAAAGAAATCTTCAAAGAGGTCCACGTATCCACTTACAGATTCTACAAAAAGACAGTTTCAAAACTGCTCCATCAAAAGGAGGGTTCAACTGTGTGACTTGAATGCAATCATCACTCAGAAGTTTCTGAGAATGCTTCTCTTTAGTTTTTACGTGAACATATACCCGTTTCGAACGAAGGCCACCCAGTGGTCCAAATATCCACTTGCAGATTATACAGAAAGAGTGTTTCGAACCTGAACTCTCAAAGGCAGGTTCATCTCTGCGAGTTAAATGCATTCATCATGAAGAACTTTCTCAGAGTGTTTGTGTTTAGTTATGGGAAATTATTCCCGTTTCCAACGAAATCCTCAGAGAGCTCCAAATATCCACCTGCAGATTCTACCAAAAGTGTATTTGGAAACTGCTCCATCAAAAGGCATGTTCAGCTCTGTGAGTGAAACTCCATCATCACAAAGAATATTCTGAGAATGCTTCCGTTTGCCTTTTATATGAAGTTCCTTCCTATACTACCGTAGGCCTCAAAGCAGTCCAAATCTCCATTTGCAGATTCTACAAAAAGAGTGATTCCAATCTGCTCTATCAATAGGATTGTTCAACTCCATGAGTTGAATGCCATCCTCACAAAGTCGTTTCTGAGAATGATTCTATCTAGTTTTAATGTGAAGATATTTCCTTTTCCACCACAGGCCTCAAAGCCCTCCAAACGTCCACTTGCAGATTCTCGAAAAAGAGTGTTTCATAGCTGCTCTTTCAAAAGGAAAGTTCAACTCTGGGAGTTGAATACAAACATCACAAAGTAGTTTCCGAGAATGCTTCTGTTTAGTTTTTATGTGAAGATGATCCCGTTTCCAGTGAAATCTTCAAAGAGGTCCACATATCCCCTTGCAGATTCCAAAGAAAGAGGGTTTCAAAACTGCTCCATCAGAAGGATTGTTCAACTCTGTGAGTGGAATGCAGTCATCGCAGAAAACTTTCTGAGAATGCTTCTTTCTAGGTTTGATGTGAAGATATAGACGTTTCAAACGAAGGCTACAAAGTGGTCAAAATATACACTTGCAGATTCTACTACAAGGGTGTTGCAAACCTGAACTATCAAAGGAAGGTTCAACTCTGTGAGTTGAATACAAACATCACAAAGAATGTTCTGAGTTTGCTTCCGTTCAGTTATGGGAAGTTGATCCCGTTTCCAAAGAAATCCTCAGAGAGGTCCAAATATCCCCTCGCAGATTCTACAAAACGTGTGTTTGGAAACTGCTCCATCATAACGAATGTTCAGCTCCCTGAGTTAAACTCCATCGTCACAAAGAATTTTCTGAGAGTGCTACCGTCTGGTTTTTATATGAAGTTCTTTCCTTCACTACCACAGGCCTCAAAGCGGTCCAAATCTCCACTTGCAGATTCTACAAAAAGAGTGTTTGCAAACTGCTCTATCAAAAGGAATGTTCAACTCTGGGAGTTGAATGCAATCATCACAGAGCAGTTTCTGAGAATGCTTCTATGTCGTTTTTAGGAGAAGATATTTCCTTTTCCAACACAGTCCTCCAAGCCCGCTAAATAGCCACTTGCACATTGTAGAAAAAGTGTGTCGAAGCTGCGCTATCAAAGGGAAAGTTCAACTCTGTGAGGTGAATGCAAACATCCCAAAGAAGTTTCTGAGAATGCTTCCGTTTAGCTTTTAGGTGAAGATTATCCCGTTTCCAACGAAACCTTCAAAGAGGTCCAAATATCCCCTTGCGGATCCCACAGAAAGAGTGTTTCGAAACTGCTGTTTCAAAAGGAATCTTCAACTCTGTGAGTTGAATGCAATCATCACAAAGAAGTTTCTGACAATGCTTCTCTCTCGTCTTTCTGTGAAGATAAAGGAAAAGGCTTTCAGGCCTTTTCCACCACAGGCCTGAAAGCGCTCCAAATGTCCACTTGCAGATTCTGCGAAAAGAATATTTCAAAACTGCTCTATGAAAAGCAATGTTAAACTCTGCGGCTCGAACACAAACATCACAAAGCGGTTTCTGAGAATGCTTCAGTTTAGTTTTTCTGTGGAAATATTCCCGTTTCCAAAGAAATCTTCAAAGAGGTCCACGCATCCACTTACAGATTCTACAAAAAGACAGTTTCAAAACTGCTCCATCAAAAGGAGGGTTCAACCGTGTGACTTGAATGCAATCATCACTCAGAAGTTTCTGAGAATGCTTCTCTTTAGTTTTTACGTGAACATATACCCGTTTCGAACGAAGGCCACCCAGTGGTCCAAATATCCACTTGCAGATTCTACAGAAAGAGTGTTTCGAACCTGAACTCTCAAAGGCAGGTTCATCTCTGCGAGTTAAATGCATTCATCATGAAGAACTTTCTCAGAGTGTTTGTGTTTAGTTATGGGAAATTATTCCCGTTTCCAACGAAATCCTCAGAGAGCTCCAAATATCCACCTGCAGATTCTACCAAAAGTGTATTTGGAAACTGCTCCATCAAAAGGCATGTTCAGCTCTGTGAGTGAAACTCCATCATCACAAAGAATATTCTGAGAATGCTTCCGTTTGCCTTTTATATGAAGTTCCTTCCTGTACTACCGTAGGCCTCAAAGCAGTCCAAATCTCCATTTGCAGATTCTACAAAAAGAGTGATTCCAATCTGCTCTATCAAAAGGATTGTTCAACTCCATGAGTTGAATGCCATCCTCACAAAGCAGTTTCTGAGAATGCTTCTATCTGGTTTTTGTGTGAAGATATTTCCTTTTCCACCACAGGCCTCAAAGCCCTCCAAACGTCCACTTGCAGATTCTCGAAAAAGAGTGTTTCATAGCTGCTCTTTCAAAAGGAAAGTTCAACTCTGGGAGTTGAATACAAACATCACAAAATAGTTTCCGAGAATGCTTCTGTTTAGTTTCTATGTGAAGATGATCCCGTTTCCAGTGAAATCTTCAAAGAGGTCCACATATCCCCTTGCAGATTCCAAAGAAAGAGGGTTTCAAAACTGCTCCATCAGAAGGATTGTTCAACTCTGTGAGTTGAATGCAGTCATCGCAGAAAACTTTCTGAGAATGCTTCTGTCTAGGTTTGATGTGAAGATATAGACGTTTCAAACGAAGGCTACAAAGTGGTCAAAATATACACTTGCAGATTCTACTACAAGGGTGTTGCAAACCTGAACTATCAAAGGAAGGTTCAACTCTGTGAGTTGAATACAAACATCACAAAGAATGTTCTGAGTTTGCTTCCGTTCAGTTATGGGAAGTTGATCCCGTTTCCAACGAAATCCTCAGAGAGGTCCAAATATCCCCTCACAGATTCTACAAAACGTGTGTTTGGAAACTGCTCCATCATAACGAATGTTCAGCTCCCTGAGTTAAACTCCATCGTCACAAAGAATTTTCTGAGAGTGCTACCGTCTGGTTTTTATATGAAGTTCTTTCCTTCACTACCACAGGCCTCAAAGCGGTCCAAATCTCCACTTGCAGATTCTACAAAAAGAGTGTTTGCAAACTGCTCTATCAAAAGGAATGTTCAACTCTGGGAGTTGAATGCAATCATCACAGAGCAGTTTCTGAGAATGCTTCTATGTCGTTTTTAGAAGATATTTCCTTTTCCAACACAGTCCTCCAAGCCCGCTAAATAGCCACTTGCACATTGTAGAAAAAGTGTGTCAAAGCTGCGCTATCAAAGGGAAAGTTCAACTCTGTGAGGTGAATGCAAACATCCCAAAGAAGTTTCTGAGAATGCTTCCGTTTAGCTTTTAGGTGAAGATTATCCCGTTTCCAACGAAACCTTCAAAGAGGTCCAAATATCCCCTTGCGGATCCCACAGAAAGAGTGTTTCGAAACTGCTGTTTCAAAAGGAATCTTCAACTCTGTGAGTTGAATGCAATCATCACAAAGAAGTTTCTGACAATGCTTCTCTCTCGTCTTTCTGTGAAGATAAAGGAAAAGGCTTTCAGGCCTTTTCCACCACAGGCCTGAAAGCGCTCCAAATGTCCACTTGCAGATTCTGCGAAAAGAATATTTCAAAACTGCTCTATGAAAAGCAATGTTAAACTCTGTGGCTCGAACACAAACATCACAAAGCGGTTTCTGAGAATGCTTCAGTTTAGTTTTTCTGTGGAAATATTCCCGTTTCCAAAGAAATCTTCAAAGAGGTCCACGTATCCACTTACAGATTCTACAAAAAGACAGTTTCAAAACTGCTCCATCAAAAGGAGGGTTCAACTGTGTGACTTGAATGCAATCATCACTCAGAAGTTTCTGAGAATGCTTCTCTTTAGTTTTTACGTGAACATATACCCGTTTCGAACGAAGGCCACCCAGTGGTCCAAATATCCACTTGCAGATTATACAGAAAGAGTGTTTCGAACCTGAACTCTCAAAGGCAGGTTCATCTCTGCGAGTTAAATGCATTCATCATGAAGAACTTTCTCAGCGTGTTTGTGTTTAGTTATGGGAAATTATTCCCGTTTCCAACGAAATCCTCAAAGAGCTCCAAATATCCACCTGCAGATTCTACCAAAAGTGTATTTGGAAACTGCTCCATCAAAAGGCATGTTCAGCTCTGTGAGTGAAACTCCATCATCACAAAGAATATTCTGAGAATGCTTCCGTTTGCCTTTTATCTGAAGTTCCTTCCTATACGACCGTAGGCCTCAAAGCAGTCCAAATCTCCATTTGCAGATTCTACAAAAAGAGTGATTCCAATCTGCTCTATCAATAGGATTGTTCAACTCCATGAGTTGAATGCCATCCTCACAAAGTCGTTTCTGAGAATGCTTCTATCTAGTTTTTATGTGAAGATATTTCCTTTTCCACCACAGGCCTCAAAGCCCTCCAAACGTCCACTTGCAGATTCTCGAAAAAGAGTGTTTTATAGCTGCTCTTTCAAAAGGAAAGTTCAACTCTGGGAGTTGAATACAAACATCACAAAGTAGTTTCCGAGAATGCTTCTGTTTAGTTTTTATGTGAAGATGATCCCGTTTCCAGTGAAATCTTCAAAGAGGTCCACATATCCCCTTGCAGATTCCAAAGAAAGAGGGTTTCAAAACTGCTCCATCAGAAGGATTGTTCAACTCTGTGAGTTGAATGCAGTCATCGCAGAAAACTTTCTGAGAATGCTTCTGTCTAGGTTTGGTGTGAAGATATAGATGTTTCAAACGAAGGCTACAAAGTGGTCAAAATATACACTTGCAGATTCTACTACAAGGGTGTTGCAAACCTGAACTATCAAAGGAAGGTTCAACTCTGTGAGTTGAATACAAACATCACAAAGAATGTTCTGAGTTTGCTTCCGTTCAGTTATGGGAAGTTGATCCCGTTTCCAACGAAATCCTCAGAGAGGTCCAAATATCCCCTTGCAGATTCTACAAAACGTGTGTTTGGAAACTGCTCCATCATAACGAATGTTCAGCTCCCTGAGTTAAACTCCATCGTCACAAAGAATTTTCTGAGAGTGCTACCGTCTGGTTTTTATATGAAGTTCTTTCCTTCACTACCACAGGCCTCAAAGCGGTCCAAATCTCCACTTGCAGATTCTACAAAAAGAGTGTTTGCAAACTGCTCTATCAAAAGGAATGTTCAACTCTGGGAGTTGAATGCAATCATCACAGAGCAGTTTCTGAGAATGCTTCTATGTCGTTTTTAGGAGAAGATATTTCGTTTTCCAACACAGTCCTCCAAGCCCGCTAAATAGCCACTTGCACATTGTAGAAAAAGTGTGTCAAAGCTGCGCTATCAAAGGGAAAGTTCAACTCTGTGAGGTGAATGCAAACATCCCAAAGAAGTTTCTGAGAATGTTTCCGTTTAGCTTTTAGGTGAAGATTATCCCGTTTCCAACGAAACCTTCAAAGAGGTGCAAATATCCCCTTGCGGATCCCACAGAAAGAGTGTTTCGAAACTGCTGTTTCAAAAGGAATCTTCAACTCTGTGAGTTGAATGCAATCATCACAAAGAAGTTTCTGACAATGCTTCTCTCTCGTCTTTCTGTGAAGATAAAGGAAAAGGCTTTCAGGCCTTTTCCACCACAGGCCTGAAAGCGCTCCAAATGTCCACTTGCAGATTCTGCCAAAAGAATATTTCAAAACTGCTCTATGAAAAGCAATGTTAAACTCTGTGGCTGGAACACAAACATCACAAAGCGGTTTCTGAGAATGTTTCAGTTTAGTTTTTCTGTGGAAATATTCCCGTTTCCAAAGAAATCTTCAAAGAGGTCCACGTATCCACTTACAGATTCTACAAAAAGACAGTTTCAAAACTGCTCCATCAAAAGGAGGGTTCAACTGTGTGACTTGAATGCAATCATCACTCAGAAGTTTCTGAGAATGCTTCTCTTTAGTTTTTACGTGAACATATACCCGTTTCGAACGAAGGCCACCCAGTGGTCCAAATATCCACTTGCAGATTCTACAGAAAGAGTGTTTCGAACATGAACTCTCAAAGGCAGGTTCATCTCTGCGAGTTAAATTCATTCATCATGAAGAACTTTCTCAGAGTGTTTGTGTTTAGTTATGGGAAATTATTCCCGTTTCCAACGAAATCCTCAGAGAGCTCCAAATATCCACCTGCAGATTCTACCAAAAGTGTATTTGGAAACTGCTCCATCAAAAGGCATGTTCCGCTCTGTGAGTGAAACTCCATCATCACAAAGAATATTCTGAGAATGCTTCCGTTTGCCTTTTATATGAAGTTCCTTCCTATACGACCGTAGGCCTCAAAGCAGTCCAAATCTCCATTTGCAGATTCTACAAAAAGAGTGATTCCAATCTGCTCTATCAATAGGATTGTTCAACTCCATGAGTTGAATGCCATCCTCACAAAGTCGTTTCTGAGAATGCTTCTATCTAGTTTTTATGTGAAGATATTTCCTTTTCCACCACAGGCCTCAAAGCCTTCCAAACGTCCACTTGCAGATTCTCGAAAAAGAGTGTTTCATAGCTGCTCTTTCAAAAGGAAAGTTCAACTCTGGGAGTTGAATACAAACATCACAAAGTAGTTTCCGAGAATGCTTCTGTTTAGTTTTTATGTGAAGATGATCCCGTTTCCAGTGAAATCTTCAAAGAGGTCCACATATCCCCTTGCAGATTCCAAAGAAAGAGGGTTTCAAAACTGCTCCATCAGAAGGATTGTTCAACTCTGTGAGTTGAATGCAGTCATCGCAGAAAACTTTCTGAGAATGCTTCTGTCTAGGTTTGATGTGAAGATATAGACGTTTCAAACGAAGGCTACAAAGTGGTCAAAATATACACTTGCAGATTCTACTACAAGGGTGTTGCCAACCTGAACTATCAAAGGAAGGTTCAACTCTGTGAGTTGAATACAAACATCACAAAGAATGTTCTGAGTTTGCTTCCGTTCAGTTATGGGAAGTTGATCCCGTTTCCAACGAAATCCTCAGAGAGGTCCAAATATCCCCTTGCAGATTCTACAAAACGTGTGTTTGGAAACTGCTCCATCATAACGAATGTTCAGCTCCCTGAGTTAAACTCCATCGTCACAAAGAATTTTCTGAGAGTGCTTCTATGTCGTTTTTAGGAGAAGATATTTCCTTTTCCAACACAGTCCTCCAAGCCCGCTAAATAGCCACTTGCACATTGTAGAAAAAGTGTGTCAAAGCTGCGCTATCAAAGGGAAAGTTCAACTCTGTGAGGTGAATGCAAACATCCCAAAGAAGTTTCTGAGAATGCTTCCGTTTAGCTTTTAGGTGAAGATTATCCCGTTTCCAACGAAACCTTCAAAGAGGTCCAAATATCCCCTTGCGGATCCCACAGAAAGAGTGTTTCGAAACTGCTGTTTCAAAAGGAATCTTCAACTCTGTGAGTTGAATGCAATCATCACAAAGAAGTTTCTGACAATGCTTCTCTCTCGTCTTTCTGTGAAGATAAAGGAAAAGGCTTTCAGGCCTTTGCCACCACAGGCCTGAAAGCGCTCCAAGTGTCCACTTGCAGATTCTGCGAAAAGAATATTTCAAAACTGCTCTATGAAAAGCAATGTTAAACTCTGTGGCTCGAACACAAACATCACAAAGAGGTTTCTGAGAATGCTTCAGTTTAGTTTTTCTGTGGAAATATTCCCGTTTCCAAAGAAATCTTCAAAGAGGTCCACGTATCCACTTACAGATTCTACAAAAAGACAGTTTCAAAACTGCTCCATCAAAAGGAGGGTTCAACTGTGTGACTTGAATGCAATCATCACTCAGAAGTTTCTGAGAATGCTTCTCTTTAGTTTTTACGTGAACATATACCCGTTTCGAACGAAGGCCACCCAGTGGTCCAAATATCCACTTGCAGATTCTACAGAAAGAGTGTTTCGAACCTGAACTCTCAAAGGCAGGTTCATCTCTGCGAGTTAAATGCATTCATCATGAAGAACTTTCTCAGAGTGTTTGTGTTTAGTTATGGGAAATTATTCCCGTTTCCAACGAAATCCTCAGAGAGCTCCAAATATCCACCTGCAGTTTCTACCAAAAGTGTAGTTGGAAACTGCTCCATCAAAAGGCATGTTCAGCTCTGTGAGTGAAACTCCATCATCACAAAGAATATTCTGAGAATGCTTCCGTTTGCCTTTTATATGAAGTTCCTTCCTATACTACCGTAGGCCTCAAAGCAGTCCAAATCTCCATTTGCAGATTCTACAAAAAGAGTGATTCCAATCTGCTCTATCAATAGGATTGTTCAACTCCATGAGTTGAATGCCATCCTCACAAAGTAGTTTCTGAGAATGCTTCTATCTAGTTTTTATGTGAAGATATTTCCTTTTCCACCACAGGCCTCAAAGCCCTCCAAACGTCCACTTGCAGATTCTCGAAAAAGAGTGTTTCATAGCTGCTCTTTCAAAAGGAAAGTTCAACTCTGGGAGTTGAATACAAACATCACAAAGTAGTTTCCGAGAATGCTTCTGTTTAGTTCTTATGTGAAGATGATCCCGTTTCCAGTGAAATCTTCAAAGAGGTCCACATATCCCCTTGCAGATTCCAAAGAAAGAGGGTTTCAAAACTGCTCCATCAAAAGGATTGTTCAACTCTGTGAGTTGAATGCAGTCATCGCAGAAAACTTTCTGAGAATGCTTCTGTCTAGGTTTGATGTGAAGTTATAGACGTTTAAAACGAAGGCTACAAAGTGGTCAAAATATACACTTACAGATTCTACTACAAGGGTGTTGCAAACCTGAACTATCAAAGGAAGGTTCAACTCTGTGGGTTGAATACAAACATCGCAAAGAATGTTCTGAGTTTGCTTCCGTTCAGTTATGGGAAGTTGATCCCGTTTCCAACGAAATCCTCAGAGAGGTCCAAATATCCCCTTGCAGATTCTACAAAACGTGTGTTTGGAAACTGCTCCATCATAACGAATGTTCAGCTCCCTGAGTTAAACTCCATCGTCACAAAGAATTTTCTGAGAGTGCTACCGTCTGGTTTTTATATGAAGTTCTTTCCTTCACTACCACAGGCCTCAAAGCGGTCCAAATCTCCACTTGCAGATTCTACAAAAAGAGTGTTTGCAAACTGCTCTATCAAAAGGAATGTTCAACTCTGGGAGTTGAATGCAATCATCACAGAGCAGTTTCTGAGAATGCTTCTATGTCGTTTTTAGGAGAAGATATTTCCTTTTCCAACACAGTCCTCCTAGCCCGCTAAATAGCCACTTGCACATTGTAGAAAAAGTGTGTCAAAGCTGCGCTATCAAAGGGAAAGTTCAACTCTGTGAGGTGAATGCAAACATCCCAAAGAAGTTTCTGAGAATGCTTCCGTTTAGCTTTTAGGTGAAGATTATCCCGTTTCCAACGAAACCTTCAAAGAGGTCCAAATATCCCCTTGCGGATCCCACAGAAAGAGTGTTTCGAAACTGCTGTTTCAAAAGGAATCTTCAACTCTGTGAGTTGAATGCAATCATCACAAAGAAGTTTCTGACAATGCTTCTCTCTCGTCTTTCTGTGAAGATAAAGGAAAAGGCTTTCAGGCCTTTGCCACCACAGGCCTGAAAGCGCTCCAAATGTCCACTTGCAGATTCTGCGAAAAGAATATTTCAAAACTGCTCTATGAAAAGCAATGTTAAACTCTGTGGCTCGAACACAAACATCACAAAGAGGTTTCTGAGAATGCTTCAGTTTAGTTTTTCTGTGGAAATATTCCCGTTTCCAAAGAAATCTTCAAAGAGGTCCACGTATCCACTTACAGATTCTACAAAAAGACAGTTTCAAAACTGCTCCATCAAAAGGAGGGTTCAACTGTGTGACTTGAATGCAATCATCACTCAGAAGTTTCTGAGAATGCTTCTCTTTAGTTTTTACGTGAACATATACCCGTTTCGAACGAAGGCCACCCAGTGGTCCAAATATCCACTTGCAGATTATACAGAAAGAGTGTTTCGAACCTGAACTCTCAAAGGCAGGTTCATCTCTGCGAGTTAAATGCATTCATCATGAAGAACTTTCTCAGAGTGTTTGTGTTTAGTTATGGGAAATTATTCCCGTTTCCAACGAAATCCTCAGAGAGCTCCAAATATCCACCTGCAGATTCTACCAAAAGTGTATTTGGAAACTGCTCCATCAAAAGGCATGTTCAGCTCTGTGAGTGAAACTCCATCATCACAAAGAATATTCTGAGAATGCTTCCGTTTGCCTTTTATATGAAGTTCCTTCCTATACGACCGTAGGCCTCAAAGCAGTCCAAATCTCCATTTGCAGATTCTACAAAAAGAGTGATTCCAATCTGCTCTATCAATAGGATTGTTCAACTCCATGAGTTGAATGCCATCCTCACAAAGTCGTTTCTGAGAATGCTTCTATCTAGTTTTTATGTGAAGATATTTCCTTTTCCACCACAGGCCTCAAAGCCCTCCAAACGTCCACTTGCAGATTCTCGAAAAAGAGTGTTTCATAGCTGCTCTTTCAAAAGGAAAGTTCAACTCTGGGAGTTGAATACAAACATCACAAAGTAGTTTCCGAGAATGCTTCTGTTTAGTTTTTATGTGAAGATGATCCCGTTTCCAGTGAAATCTTCAAAGAGGTCCACATATCCCCTTGCAGATTCCAAAGAAAGAGGGTTTCAAAACTGCTCCATCAGAAGGATTGTTCAACTCTGTGAGTTGAATGCAGTCATCGCAGAAAACTTTCTGAGAATGCTTCTTTCTAGGTTTGATGTGAAGATATAGACGTTTCAAACGAAGGCTACAAAGTGGTCAAAATATACACTTGCAGATTCTACTACAAGGGTGTTGCAAACCTGAACTATCAAAGGAAGGTTCAACTCTGTGAGTTGAATACAAACATCACAAAGAATGTTCTGAGTTTGCTTCCGTTCAGTTATGGGAAGTTGATCCCGTTTCCAACGAAATCCTCAGAGAGGTCCCAATATCCCCTTGCAGATTCTACAAAACGTGTGTTTGGAAACTGCTCCATCATAACGAATGTTCAGCTCCCTGAGTTAAACTCCATCGTCACAAAGAATTTTCTGAGAGTGCTACCGTGTGGTTTTTATATGAAGTTCTTTCCTTCACTACCACAGACCTCAAAGCGGTCCAAATCTCCACTTGCAGATTCTACAAAAAGAGTGTTTGCAAACTGCTCTATCAAAAGGAATGTTCAACTCTGGGAGTTGAATGCAATCATCACAGAGCAGTTTCTGAGAATGCTTCTATGTCGTTTTTAGGAGAAGATATTTCCTTTTCCAACACAGTCCTCCAAGCCCGCTAAATAGCCACTTGCACATTGTAGAAACAGTGTGTCAAAGCTGCGCTATCAAAGGGAAAGTTCAACTCTGTGAGGTGAATGCAAACATCCCAAAGAAGTTTCTGAGAATGCTTCCGTTTAGCTTTTAGGTGAAGATTATCCCGTTTCCAACGAAACCTTCAAAGAGGTCCAAATATCCCCTTGCGGATCCCACAGAAAGAGTGTTTCGAAACTGCTGTTTCAAAAGGAATCTTCAACTCTGTGAGTTGAATGCAATCATCACAAAGAAGTTTCTGACAATGCTTCTCTCTCGTCTTTCTGTGAAGATAAAGGAAAAGGCTTTCAGGCCTTTTCCACCACAGGCCTGAAAGCGCTCCAAATGTCCACTTGCAGATTCTGCGAAAAGAATATTTCAAAACTGCTCTATGAAAAGCAATGTTAAACTCTGTGGCTCGAACACAAACATCACAAAGCGGTTTCTGAGAATGCTTCAGTTTAGTTTTTCTGTGGAAATATTCCCGTTTCCAAAGAAATCTTCAAAGAGGTCCACGTATCCACTTACAGATTCTACAAAAAGACAGTTTCAAAACTGCTCCATCAAAAGGAGGGTTCAACTGTGTGACTTGAATGCAATCATCACTCAGAAGTTTCTGAGAATGCTTCTCTTTAGTTTTTACGTGAACATATACCCGTTTCGAACGAAGGCCACCCAGTGGTCCAAATATCCACTTGCAGATTCTACAGAAAGAGTGTTTCGAAACTGAACTCTCAAAGGCAGGTTCATCTCTGCGAGTTAAATGCATTCATCATGAAGAACTTTCTCAGCGTGTTTGTGTTTAGTTATGGGAAATTATTCCCGTTTCCAACGAAATCCTCAAAGAGCTCCAAATATCCACCTGCAGATTCTACCAAAAGTGTATTTGGAAACTGCTCCATCAAAAGGCATGTTCAGCTCTGTGAGTGAAACTCCATCATCACAAAGAATATTCTGAGAATGCTTCCGTTTGCCTTTTATATGAAGTTCCTTCCTGTACTACCGTAGGCCTCAAAGCAGTCCAAATCTCCATTTGCACATTCTACAAAAAGAGTGATTCCAATCTGCTGTATCAATAGGATTGTTCAACTCCATGAGTTGAATGCCATCCTCACAAAGTCGTTTCTGAGAATGCTTCTATCTGGTTTTTGTGTGAAGATATTTCCTTTTCCACCACAGGCCTCAAAGCCCTCCAAACGTCCACTTGCAGATTCTCGAAAAAGAGTGTTTCATAGCTGCTCTTTCAAAAGGAAAGTTCAACTCTGGGAGTTGAATACAAACATCACAAAATAGTTTCCGAGAATGCTTCTGTTTAGTTTTTATGTGAAGATGATCCCGTTTCCAGTGAAATCTTCAAAGAGGTCCACATATCCCCTTGCAGATTCCAAAGAAAGAGGGTTTCAAAACTGCTCCATCAAAAGGATTGTTCAACTCTGTGAGTTGAATGCAGTCATCGCAGAAAACTTTCTGAGAATGCTTCTGTCTAGGTTTGATGTGAAGATATAGACGTTTCAAACGAAGGCTACAAAGTGGTCAAAATATACACTTGCAGATTCTACTACAAGGGTTTTGCAAACCTGAACTATCAAAGGAAGGTTCAACTCTGTGAGTTGAATACAAACATAACAAAGAATGTTCTGAGTTTGCTTCCGTTCAGTTATGGGAAGTTGATCCCGTTTCCAACGAAATCCTCAGAGAGGTCCAAATATCCCCTCGCAGATTCTACAAAACGTGTGTTTGGAAACTGCTCCATCATAACGAATGTTCAGCTCCCTGAGTTAAACTCCATCGTCACAAAGAATTTTCTGAGAGTGCTACCGTCTGGTTTTTATATGAAGTTCTTTCCTTCACTACCACAGGCCTCAAAGCGGTCCAAATCTCCACTTGCAGATTCTACAAAAAGAGTGTTTGCAAACTGCTCTATCAAAAGGAATGTTCAACTCTGGGAGTTGAATGCAATCATCACAGAGCAGTTTCTGAGAATGCTTCTATGTCGTTTTTAGGAGAAGATATTTCCTTTTCCAACACAGTCCTCCAAGCCCGCTAAATATCCACTTGCACATTGTAGAAAAAGTGTGTCGAAGCTGCGCTATCAAAGGGAAAGTTCAACTCTGTGAGGTGAATGCAAACATCCCAAAGAAGTTTCTGAGAATGCTTCCGTTTAGCTTTTAGGTGAAGATTATTCCGTTTCCAACGAAATCTTCAAAGAGGTCTAAATATCCCCTTGCGGATCCCACAGAAAGAGTGTTTTGAAACTGCTGTTTCAAAAGGAATCTTCAACTCTGTGAGTTGAATGCAATCATCACAAAGAAGTTTCTGACAATGCTTCTCTCTCGTCTTTCTGTGAAGATAAAGGAAAAGGCTTTCAGGCCTTTTCCACCCACAGGCCTGAAAGCGCTCCAAATGTCCACTTGCAGATTCTGCGAAAAGAATATTTCAAAACTGCTCTATGAAAAGCAATGTTAAACTCTGCGGCTCGAACACAAACATCACAAAGCGGTTTCTGAGAATGCTTCAGTTTAGTTTTTCTGTGGAAATATTCCCGTTTCCAAAGAAATCTTCAAAGAGGTCCACGTATCCACTTACAGATTCTACAAAAAGACAGTTTCAAAACTGCTCCATCAAAAGGAGGGTTCAACCGTGTGACTTGAATGCAATCATCACTCAGAAGTTTCTGAGAATGCTTCTCTTTAGTTTTTACGTGAACATATACCCGTTTCGAACGAAGGCCACCCAGTGGTCCAAATATCCACTTGCAGATTATACAGAAAGAGTGTTTCGAACCTGAACTCTCAAAGGCAGGTTCATCTCTGCGAGTTAAATGCATTCATCATGAAGAACTTTCTCAGAGTGTTTGTGTTTAGTTATGGGAAATTATTCCCGTTTCCAAAGAAATCCTCAGAGAGCTCCAAATATCCACCTGCAGATTCTACCAAAAGTGTATTTGGAAACTGCTCCATCAAAAGGCATGTTCAGCTCTGTGAGTGAAACTCCATCATCACAAAGAATATTCTGAGAATGCTTCCGTTTGCCTTTTATATGAAGTTCCTTCCTGTACTACCGTAGGCCTCAAAGCAGTCCAAATCTCCATTTGCAGATTCTACAAAAAGAGTGATTCCAATCTGCTCTATCAATAGGATTGTTCAACTCCATGAGTTGAATGCCATCCTCACAAAGCAGTTTCTGAGAATGCTTCTATCTGGTTTTTGTGTGAAGATATTTCCTTTTCCACCACAGGCCTCAAAGCCCTCCAAACGTCCACTTGCAGATTCTCGAAAAAGAGTGTTTCATAGCTGCTCTTTCAAAAGGAAAGTTCAACTCTGGGAGTTGAATACAAACATCACAAAATAGTTTCCGAGAATGCTTCTGTTTAGTTTTTATGTGAAGATGATCCCGTTTCCAGTGAAATCTTCAAAGAGGTCCACATATCCCCTTGCAGATTCCAAAGAAAGAGGGTTTCAAAACTGCTCCATCAGAAGGATTGTTCAACTCTGTGAGTTGAATGCAGTCATCGCAGAAAACTTTCTGAGAATGCTTCTGTCTAGGTTTGATGTGAAGATATAGACGTTTCAAACGAAGGCTACAAAGTGGTCAAAATATACACTTGCAGATTCTACTACAAGGGTGTTGCAAACCTGAACTATCAAAGGAAGGTTCAACTCTGTGAGTTGAATACAAACATCACAAAGAATGTTCTGAGTTTGCTTCCGTTCAGTTATGGGAAGTTGATCCCGTTTCCAACGAAATCCTCAGAGAGGTCCAAATATCCCCTTGCAGATTCTACAAAACGTGTGTTTGGAAACTGCTCCATCATAACGAATGTTCAGCTCCCTGAGTTAAACTCCATCGTCACAAAGAATTTTCTGAGATTGCTACCGTCTGGTTTTTATATGAAGCTCTTTCCTTCACTACCACAGGCCTCAAAGCGGTCCAAATCTCCACTTCCAGATTCTACAAAAAGAGTGTTTGCAAACTGCTCTATCAAAAGGAATGTTCAACTCTGGGAGTTGAATGCAATCATCACAGAGCAGTTTCTGAGAATGCTTCTATGTCGTTTTTAGGAGAAGATATTTCCTTTTCCAACACAGTCCTCCAAGCCAGCTAAATAGCCACTTGCACATTGTAGAAAAAGTGTGTCAAAGCTGCGCTATCAAAGGGAAAGTTCAACTCTGTGAGGTGAATGCAAACATCCCAAAGAAGTTTCTGAGAATGCTTCCGTTTAGCTTTTAGGTGAAGATTATCCCGTTTCCAACGAAACCTTCAAAGAGGTCCAAATATCCCCTTGCGGATCCCACAGAAAGAGTGTTTCGAAACTGCTGTTTCAAAAGGAATCTTCAACTCTGTGAGTTGAATGCAATCATCGCAAAGAAGTTTCTGACAATGCTTCTCTCTCGTCTTTCTGTGAAGGTAAAGGAAAAGGCTTTCAGGCCTTTTCCACCACAGGCCTGAAAGCGCTCCAAATGTCCACTTGCAGATTCTGCCAAAAGAATATTTCAAAACTGCTCTATGAAAAGCAATGTTAAACTCTGTGACTCGAACACAAACATCACAAAGCGGTTTCTGAGAATGCTTCAGTTTAGTTTTTTTGTGGAAATATTCCCGTTTCCAAAGAAATCTTCAAAGAGGTCCACGTATCCACTTACAGATTCTACAAAAAGACAGTTTCAAAACTGCTCCATCAAAAGGAGGGTTCAACTGTGTGACTTGAATGCAATCATCACTCAGAAGTTTCTGAGAATGCTTCTCTTTAGTTTTTACGTGAACATATACCCGTTTCGAACGAAGGCCAGCCAGTGGTCCAAATATCCACTTGCAGATTCTACAGAAAGAGTGTTTCGAACATGAACTCTCAAAGGCAGGTTCATCTCTGCGAGTTAAATGCATTCATCATGAAGAACTTTCTCAGAGTGTTTGTGTTTAGTTATGGGAAATTATTCCCGTTTCCAACGAAATCCTCAGAGAGCTCCAAATATCCACCTGCAGATTCTACCAAAAGTGTATTTGGAAACTGCTCCATCAAAAGGCATGTTCAGCTCTGTGAGTGAAACTCCATCATCACAAAGAATATTCTGAGAATGCTTCCGTTTGCCTTTTATATGAAGTTCCTTCCTATACGACCGTAGGCCTCAAAGCAGTCCAAATCTCCATTTGCAGATTCTACAAAAAGAGTGATTCCAATCTGCTCTATCAATAGGATTGTTCAACTCCATGAGTTGAATGCCATCCTCACAAAGTCGTTTCTGAGAATGCTTCTATCTAGTTTTTACGTGAAGATATTTCCTTTTCCAGCACAGGCCTCAAAGCCCTCCAAACGTCCACTTGCAGATTCTCGAAAAAGAGTGTTTCATAGCTGCTCTTTCAAAAGGAAAGTTCAACTCTGGGAGTTGAATACAAACATCACAAAGTAGTTTCCGAGAATGCTTCTGTTTAGTTTTTATGTGAAGATGATCCCGTTTCCAGTGAAATCTTCAAAGAGGTCCACATATCCCCTTGCAGATTCCAAAGAAAGAGGGTTTCAAAACTGCTCCATCAGAAGGATTGTTCAACTCTGTGAGTTGAATGCAGTCATCGCAGAAAACTTTCTGAGAATGCTTCTGTCTAGGTTTGATGTGAAGATATAGACGTTTCAAACGAAGGCTACAAAGTGGTCAAAATATACACTTGCAGATTCTACTACAAGGGTGTTGCAAACCTGAACTATCAAAGGAAGGTTCAACTCTGTGAGTTGAATACAAACATCACAAAGAATGTTCTGAGTTTGCTTCCGTTCAGTTATGGGAAGTTGATCCCGTTTCCAACGAAATCCTCAGAGAGGTCCAAATATCCCCTTGCAGATTCTACAAAACGTGTGTTTGGAAACTGCTCCATCATAACGAATGTTCAGCTCCCTGAGTTAAACTCCATCGTCACAAAGAATTTTCTGAGAGTGCTACCGTCTGGTTTTTATATGAAGCTCTTTCCTTCACTACCACAGACCTCAAAGCGGTCCAAATCTCCACTTGCAGATTCTACAAAAAGAGTGTTTGCAAACTGCTCTATCAAAAGGAATGTTCAACTCTGGGAGTTGAATGCAATCATCACAGAGCAGTTTCTGAGAATGCTTCTATGTCGTTTTTAGGAGAAGATATTTCCTTTTCCAACACAGTCCTCCAAGCCCGCTCAATAGCCACTTGCACATTGTAGAAAAAGTGTGTCAAAGCTGCGCTATCAAAGGGAAAGTTCAACTCTGTGAGGTGAATGCAAACATCCCAAAGAAGTTTCTGAGAATGCTTCCGTTTAGCTTTTAGGTGAAGATTATCCCGTTTCCAACGAAACCTTCAAAGAGGTCCAAATATCCCCTTGCGGATCCCACAGAAAGAGTGTTTCGAAACTGCTGTTTCAAAAGGAATCTTCAACTACTGTGAGTTGAATGCAATCATCACAAAGAAGTTTCTGACAATGCTTTCTCTCTCGTCTTTCTGTGAAGATAAAGGAAAAGGCTTTCAGGCCTTTTCCACCACAGGCCTGAAAGCGCTCCAAATGTCCACTTGCAGATTCTGCCAAAAGAATATTTCAAAACTGCTCTATGAAAAGCAATGTTAAACTCTGTGGCTCGAACACAAACATCACAAAGCAGTTTCTGAGAATGCTTCAGTTTAGTTTTTCTGTGGAAATATTCCCGTTTCCAAAGAAATCTTCAAAGAGGTCCACGTATCCACTTACAGATTCTACAAAAAGACAGTTTCAAAACTGCTCCATCAAAAGGAGGGTTCAACTGTGTGACTTGAATGCAATCATCACTCAGAAGTTTCTGAGAATGCTTCTCTTTAGTTTTTACGTGAACATATACCCGTTTCGAACGAAGGCCACCCAGTGGTCCAAATATCCACTTGCAGATTCTACAGAAAGAGTGTTTCGAACCTGAACTCTCAAAGGCAGGTTCATCTCTGCGAGTTAAATGCATTCATCATGAAGAACTTTCTCAGAGTGTTTGTGTTTAGTTATGGGAAATTATTCCCGTTTCCAACGAAATCCTCAGAGAGCTCCAAATATCCACCTGCAGATTCTACCAAAAGTGTATTTGGAAACTGCTCCATCAAAAGGCATGTTCAGCTCTGTGAGTGAAACTCCATCATCACAAAGAATATTCTGAGAATGCTTCCGTTTGCCTTTTATATGAAGTTCCTTCCTGTACTACCGTAGGCCTCAAAGCAGTCCAAATCTCCATTTGCAGATTCTATAAAAAGAGTGATTCCAATCTGCTCTATCAATAGGATTGTTCAACTCCATGAGTTGAATGCCATCCTCACAAAGTAGTTTCTGAGAATGCTTCTATCTGGTTTTTGTGTGAAGATATTTCCTTTTCCACCACAGGCCTCAAAGCCCTCCAAACGTCCACTTGCAGATTCTCGAAAAAGAGTGTTTCATAGCTGCTCTTTCAAAAGGAAAGTTCAACTCTGGGAGTTGAATACAAACATCACAAAGTAGTTTCCGAGAATGCTTCTGTTTAGTTTTTATGTGAAGATGATCCCGTTTCCAGTGAAATCTTCAAAGAGGTCCACATATTCCCTTGCAGATTCCAAAGAAAGAGGGTTTCAAAACTGCTCCATCAGAAGGATTGTTCAACTCTGTGAGTTGAATGCAGTCATCGCAGAAAACTTTCTGAGAATGCTTCTGTCTAGGTTTGATGTGAAGATATAGACGTTTCAAACGAAGGCTACAAAGTGGTCAAAATATACACTTGCAGATTCTACTACAAGGGTGTTGCAAACCTGAACTATCAAAGGAAGGTTCAACTCTGTGAGTTGAATTCAAACATCACAAAGAATGTTCTGAGTTTGCTTCCGTTCAGTTATGGGAAGTTGATCCCGTTTCCAACGAAATCCTCAGAGAGGTCCAAATATCCCCTCGCAGATTCTACAAAACGTGTGTTTGGAAACTGCTCCATCATAACGAATGTTCAGCTCCCTGAGTTAAACTCCATCGTCACAAAGAATTTTCTGAGAGTGCTACCGTCTGGTTTTTATATGAAGTTCTTTCCTTCACTACCACAGGCCTCAAAGCGGTCCAAATCTCCACTTGCAGATTCTACAAAAAGAGTGTTTGCAAACTGCTCTATCAAAAGGAATGTTCAACTCTGGGAGTTGAATGCAATCATCACAGAGCAGTTTCTGAGAATGCTTCTATGTCGTTTTTAGGAGAAGATATTTCCTTTTCCAACACAGTCCTCCAAGCCCGCTAAATAGCCACTTGCACATTGTAGAAAAAGTGTGTCAAAGCTGCGCTATCAAAGGGAAAGTTCAACTCTGTGAGGTGAATGCAAACATCCCAAAGAAGTTTCTGAGAATGCTTCCGTTTAGCTTTTAGGTGAAGATTATCCCGTTTCCAACGAAACCTTCAAAGAGGTCCAAATATCCCCTTGCGGATCCCACAGAAAGAGTGTTTCGAAACTGCTGTTTCAAAAGGAATCTTCAACTCTGTGAGTTGAATGCAATCATCACAAAGAAGTTTCTGACAATGCTTCTCTCTCGTCTTTCTGTGAAGATAAAGGAAAAGGCTTTCAGGCCTTTTCCACCACAGGCCTGAAAGCGCTCCAAATGTCCACTTGCAGATTCTGCGAAAAGAATATTTCAAAACTGCTCTATGAAAAGCAATGTTAAACTCTGTGGCTCGAACACAAACATCACAAAGCGGTTTCTGAGAATGCTTCAGTTTAGTTTTTCTGTGGAAATATTCCCGTTTCCAAAGAAATCTTCAAAGAGGTCCACGTATCCACTTACAGATTCTACAAAAAGACAGTTTCAAAACTGCTCCATCAAAAGGAGGGTTCAACCGTGTGACTTGAATGCAATCATCACTCAGAAGTTTCTGAGAATGCTTCTCTTTAGTTTTTACGTGAACATATACCCGTTTCGAACGAAGGCCACCCAGTGGTCCAAATATCCACTTGCAGATTATACAGAAAGAGTGTTTCGAACCTGAACTCTCAAAGGCAGGTTCATCTCTGCGAGTTAAATGCATTCATCATGAAGAACTTTCTCAGAGTGTTTGTGTTTAGTTATGGGAAATTATTCCCGTTTCCAACGAAATCCTCAGAGAGCTCCAAATATCCACCTGCAGATTCTACCAAAAGTGTATTTGGAAACTGCTCCATCAAAAGGCATGTTCAGCTCTGTGAGTGAAACTCCATCATCACAAAGAATATTCTGAGAATGCTTCCGTTTGCTTTTTATATGAAGTTCCTTCCTATACTACCGTAGGCCTCAAAGCAGTCCAAATCTCCATTTACAGATTCTACAAAAAGAGTGTTTCCAATCTGCTCTATCAATAGGATTGTTCAACTCCGTGAGTTGAATGCCATCCTCACAAAGTAGTTTCTGAGAATGCTTCTATCTAGTTTTTATGTGAAGATATTTCCTTTTCCACCACAGGCCTCAAAGCCCTCCAAACGTCCACTTGCAGATTCTCGAAAAGGAGTGTTTCATAGCTGCTCTTTCAAAAGGAAAGTTCAACTCTGGGAGTTGAATACAAACATCACAAAGTAGTTTCCGAGAATGCTTCTGTTTAGTTTTTATGTGAAGATGATCCCGTTTCCAGTGAAATCTTCAAAGAGGTCCACATATCCCCTTGCAGATTCCAAAGAAAGAGGGTTTCAAAACTGCTCCATCAGAAGGATTGTTCAACTCTGTGAGTTGAATGCAGTCATCGCAGAAAACTTTCTGAGAATGCTTCTGTCTAGGTTTGATGTGAAGATATAGACGTTTCAAACGAAGGCTACAAAGTGGTCAAAATATACACTTGCAGATTCTACTACAAGGGTGTTGCAAACCTGAACTATCAAAGGAAGGTTCAACTCTGTGAGTTGAATACAAACATCACAAAGAATGTTCTGAGTTTGCTTCCGTTCAGTTATGGGAAGTTGATCCCGTTTCCAACGAAATCCTCAGAGAGGTCCAAATATCCCCTCGCAGATTCTACAAAACGTGTGTTTGGAAACTGCTCCATCATAACGAATGTTCAGCTCCCTGAGTTAAACTCCATCGTCACAAAGAATTTTCTGAGAGTGCTACCGTCTGGTTTTTATATGAAGTTCTTTCCTTCACTACCACAGGCCTCAAAGCGGTCCAAATCTCCACTTGCAGATTCTACAAAAAGAGTGTTTGCAAACTGCTCTATCAAAAGGAATGTTCAACTCTGGGAGTTGAATGCAATCATCACAGAGCAGTTTCTGAGAATGCTTCTATGTCGTTTTTAGGAGAAGATATTTCCTTTTCCAACACAGTCCTCCAAGCCCGCTAAATAGCCACTTGCACATTGTAGAAAAAGTGTGTCAAAGCTGCGCTATCAAAGGGAAAGTTCAACTCTGTGAGGTGAATGCAAACATCCCAAAGAAGTTTCTGAGAATGCTTCCGTTTAGCTTTTAGGTGAAGATTATCCCGTTTCCAACGAAACCTTCAAAGAGGTCCAAATATCCCCTTGCGGATCCCACAGAAAGAGTGTTTCGAAACTGCTGTTTCAAAAGGAATCTTCAACTCTGTGAGTTGAATGCAATCATCACAAAGAAGTTTCTGACAATGCTTCTCTCTCGTCTTTCTGTGAAGATAAAGGAAAAGGCTTTCAGGCCTTTGCCACCACAGGCCTGAAAGCGCTCCAAATGTCCACTTGCAGATTCTGCGAAAAGAATATTTCAAAACTGCTCTATGAAAAGCAATGTTAAACTCTGTGGCTCGAACACAAACATCACAAAGCAGTTTCTGAGAATGCTTCAGTTTAGTTTTTCTGTGGAAATATTCCCGTTTCCAAAGAAATCTTCAAAGAGGTCCACGTATCCACTTACAGATTCTACAAAAAGACAGTTTCAAAACTGCTCCATCAAAAGGAGGGTTCAACTGTGTGACTTGAATGCAATCATCACTCAGAAGTTTCTGAGAATGCTTCTCTTTAGTTTTTACGTGAACATATACCCGTTTCGAACGAAGGCCACCCAGTGGTCCAAATATCCACTTGCAGATTATACAGAAAGAGTGTTTCGAACCTGAACTCTCAAAGGCAGGTTCATCTCTGCGAGTTAAATGCATTCATCATGAAGAACTTTCTCAGAGTGTTTGTGTTTAGTTATGGGAAATTATTCCCGTTTCCAAAGAAATCCTCAGAGAGCTCCAAATATCCACCTGCAGATTCTACCAAAAGTGTATTTGGAAACTGCTCCATCAAAAGGCATGTTCAGCTCTGTGAGTGAAACTCCATCATCACAAAGAATATTCTGAGAATGCTTCCCGTTTGCCTTTTATATGAAGTTCCTTCCTGTACTACCGTAGGCCTCAAAGCAGTCCAAATCTCCATTTGCAGATTCTATAAAAAGAGTGATTCCAATCTGCTCTATCAATAGGATTGTTCAACTCCATGAGTTGAATGCCATCCTCACAAAGTAGTTTCTGAGAATGCTTCTATCTGGTTTTTGTGTGAAGATGTTTCCTTTTCCACCACAGGCCTCAAAGCCCTCCAAACGTCCACTTGCAGATTCTCGAAAAAGAGTGTTTCATAGCTGCTCTTTCAAAAGGAAAGTTCAACTCTTTGAGTTGAATACAAACATCACAAAGTAGTTTCCGAGAATGCTTCTGTTTAGTTTTTATGTGAAGATGATCCCGTTTCCAGTGAAATCTTCAAAGAGGTCCACATATCCCCTTGCAGATTCCAAAGAAAGAGGGTTTCAAAACTGCTCCATCAGAAGGATTGTTCAACTCTGTGAGTTGAATGCAGTCATCGCAGAAAACTTTCTGAGAATGCTTCTGTCTAGGTTTGATGTGAAGATATAGACGTTTCAAACGAAGGCTACAAAGTGGTCAAAATATACACTTGCAGATTCTACTACAAGGGTGTTGCAAACCTGAACTATCAAAGGAAGGTTGAACTCTGTGAGTTGAATACAAACATCACAAAGAATGTTCTGAGTTTGCTTCCGTTCAGTTATGGGAAGTTGATCCCGTTTCCAATGAAATCCTCAGAGAGGTCAAAATATCCCCTCGCAGATTCTACAAAACGTGTGTTTGGAAACTGCTCCATCATAACGAATGTTCAGCTCCCTGAGTTAAACTCCATCGTCACAAAGAATTTTCTGAGAGTGCTACCGTCTGGTTTTTATATGAAGTTCTTTCCTTCACTACCACAGGCCTCAAAGCGGTCCAAATCTCCACTTGCAGATTCTACAAAAAGAGTGTTTGCAAACTGCTCTATCAAAAGGAATGTTCAACTCTGGGAGTTGAATGCAATCATCACAGAGCAGTTTCTGAGAATGCTTCTATGTCGTTTTTAGGAGAAGATATTTCCTTTTCCAACACAGTCCTCCAAGCCCGCTAAATAGCCACTTGCACATTGTAGAAAAAGTGTGTCAAAGCTGCGCTATCAAAGGGAAAGTTCAACTCTGTCAGGTGAATGCAAACATCCCAAAGAAGTTTCTGAGAATGCTTCCGTTTAGCTTTTAGGTGAAGATTATCCCGTTTCCAACGAAACCTTCAAAGAGGTCCAAATATCCCCTTGCGGATCCCACAGAAAGAGTGTTTCGAAACTGCTGTTTCAAAAGGAATCTTCAACTCTGTGAGTTGAATGCAATCATCACAAAGAAGTTTCTGACAATGCTTCTCTCTCGTCTTTCTGTGAAGATAAAGGAAAAGGCTTTCAGGCCTTTTCCACCACAGGCCTGAAAGCGCTCCAAATGTCCACTTGCAGATTCTGTGAAAAGAATATTTCAAAACTGCTCTATGAAAAGCAATGTTAAACTCTGTGGCTCGAACACAAACATCACAAAGCAGTTTCTGAGAATGCTTCAGTTTAGTTTTTCTGTGGAAATATTCCCGTTTCCAAAGAAATCTTCAAAGAGGTCCACGTATCCACTTACAGATTCTACAAAAAGACAGTTTCAAAACTGCTCCATCAAAAGGAGGGTTCAACTGTGTGACTTGAATGCAATCATCACTCAGAAGTTTCTGAGAATGCTTCTCTTTAGTTTTTACGTGAACATATACCCGTTTCGAACGAAGGCCACCCAGTGGTCCAAATATCCACTTGCAGATTCTACAGAAAGAGTGTTTCGAACCTGAA
Organism: Homo sapiens; assembly: GCF_000001405.40. Taxonomy (NCBI): domain Eukaryota; kingdom Metazoa; phylum Chordata; class Mammalia; order Primates; family Hominidae; genus Homo; species Homo sapiens. The sequence goes on along the minus strand of NC_000023.11, from coordinate 59,744,564 downwards.
CTCTCAAAGGCAGGTTCATCTCTGCGAGTTAAATGCATTCATCATGAAGAACTTTCTCAGAGTGTTTGTGTTTAGTTATGGGAAATTATTCCCGTTTCCAACGAAATCCTCAGAGAGCTCCAAATATCCACCTGCAGATTCTACCAAAAGTGTATTTGGAAACTGCTCCATCAAAAGGCATGTTCAGCTCTGTCAGTGAAACTCCATCATCACAAAGAATATTCTGAGAATGCTTCCGTTTGCCTTTTATATGAAGTTCCTTCCTGTACTACCGTAGGCCTCAAAGCAGTCCAAATCTCCATTTGCAGATTCTACAAAAAGAGTGATTCCAATCTGCTCTATCAATAGGATTGTTCAACTCCATGAGTTGAATGCCATCCTCACAAAGTCGTTTCTGAGAATGCTTCTATCTGGTTTTTGTGTGAAGATATTTCCTTTTCCACCACAGGCCTCAAAGCCCTCCAAACGTCCACTTGCAGATTCTCGAAAAAGAGTGTTTCATAGCTGCTCTTTCAAAAGGAAAGTTCAACTCTGGGAGTTGAATACAAACATCACAAAATAGTTTCCGAGAATGCTTCTGTTTAGTTTTTATGTGAAGATGATCCCGTTTCCAGTGAAATCTTCAAAGAGGTCCACATATCCCCTTGCAGATTCCAAAGAAAGAGGGTTTCAAAACTGCTCCATCAAAAGGATTGTTCAACTCTGTGAGTTGAATGCAGTCATCGCAGAAAACTTTCTGAGAATGCTTCTGTCTAGGTTTGATGTGAAGATATAGACGTTTCAAACGAAGGCTACAAAGTGGTCAAAATATACACTTGCAGATTCTACTACAAGGGTGTTGCAAACCTGAACTATCAAAGGAAGGTTCAACTCTGTGAGTTGAATACAAACATCACAAAGAATGTTCTGAGTTTGCTTCCGTTCAGTTATGGGACGTTGATCCCGTTTCCAACGAAATCCTCAGAGAGGTCCGAATATCCCCTTGCAGATTCTACAAAACGTGTGTTTGGAAACTGCTCCATCATAACGAATGTTCAGCTCTCTGAGTTAAACTCCATCGTCACAAAGAATTTTCTGAGAGTGCTACCGTCTGGTTTTTATATGAAGTTCTTTCCTTTACTACCACAGGCCTCAAAGCGGTCCAAATCTCCACTTGCAGATTCTACAAAAAGAGTGTTTGCAAACTGCTCTATCAAAAGGAATGTTCAACTCTGGGAGTTGAATGCAATCATCACAGAGCAGTTTCTGAGAATGCTTCTATGTCGTTTTTAGGAGAAGATATTTCCTTTTCCAACACAGTCCTCCAAGCCCGCTAAATAGCCACTTGCACATTGTAGAAAAAGTGTGTCAAAGCTGCGCTATCAAAGGGAAAGTTCAACTCTGTGAGGTGAATGCAAACATCCCAAAGAAGTTTCTGAGAATGCTTCCGTTTAGCTTTTAGGTGAAGATTATCCCGTTTCCAATGAAACCTTCAAAGAGGTCCAAATATCACCTTGCGGATCCCACAGAAAGAGTGTTTCGAAACTGTTGTTTCAAAAGGAATCTTCAACTCTGTGAGTTGAATGCAATCATCACAAAGAAGTTTCTGACAATGCTTCTCTCTCGTCTTTCTGTGAAGATAAAGGAAAAGGCTTTCAGGCCTTTTCCACCCACAGGCCTGAAAGCGCTCCAAATGTCCACTTGCAGATTCTGCGAAAAGAATATTTCAAAACTGCTCTATGAAAAGCAATGTTAAACTCTGTGGCTGGAACACAAACATCACAAAGCGGTTTCTGAGAATGTTTCAGTTTAGTTTTTCTGTGGAAATATTCCCGTTTCCAAAGAAATCTTCAAAGAGGTCCACGTATCCACTTACAGATTCTACAAAAAGACAGTTTCAAAACTGCTCCATCAAAAGGAGGGTTCAACTGTGTGACTTGAATGCAATCATCACTCAGAAGTTTCTGAGAATGCTTCTCTTTAGTTTTTACGTGAACATATACCCGTTTCGAACGAAGGCCACCCAGTGGTCCAAATATCCACTTGCAGATTATACAGAAAGAGTGTTTCGAACCTGAACTCTCAAAGGCAGGTTCATCTCTGCGAGTTAAATGCATTCATCATGAAGAACTTTCTCAGAGTGTTTGTGTTTAGTTATGGGAAATTATTCCCGTTTCCAACGAAATCCTCAGAGAGCTCCAAATATCCACCTGCAGATTCTACCAAAAGTGTATTTGGAAACTGCTCCATCAAAAGGCATGTTCAGCTCTGTCAGTGAAACTCCATCATCACAAAGAATATTCTGAGAATGCTTCCGTTTGCCTTTTATATGAAGTTCCTTCCTGTACTACCGTAGGCCTCAAAGCAGTCCAAATCTCCATTTGCAGATTCTACAAAAAGAGTGATTCCAATCTGCTCTATCAATAGGATTGTTCAACTCCATGAGTTGAATGCCATCCTCACAAAGTCGTTTCTGAGAATGCTTCTATCTAGTTTTTATGTGAAGATATTTCCTTTTCCACCACAGGCCTCAAAGCCCTCCAAACGTCCACTTGCAGATTCTCGAAAAAGAGTGTTTCATAGCTGCTCTTTCAAAAGGAAAGTTCAACTCTGGGAGTTGAATACAAACATCACAAAGTAGTTTCCGAGAATGCTTCTGTTTAGTTCTTATGTGAAGATGATCCCGTTTCCAGTGAAATCTTCAAAGAGGTCCACATATCCCCTTGCAGATTCCAAAGAAAGAGGGTTTCAAAACTGCTCCATCAAAAGGATTGTTCAACTCTGTGAGTTGAATGCAGTCATCGCAGAAAACTTTCTGAGAATGCTTCTGTCTAGGTTTGATGTGAAGATATAGACGTTTCAAACGAAGGCTACAAAGTGGTCAAAATATACACTTGCAGATTCTACTACAAGGGTGATGCAAACCTCAACTATCAAAGGAAGGTTCAACTCTGTGAGATGAATGCAACCATCACAAAAAATGTTCTGAGTTTGCTTCCGTTCAGTTATGGGAAATTGATACCGTTTCCAACGAAATCCTCAGAGAGGTCCAAATATCCCCTTGCAGATTCTACAAAACGTGTGTTTGGAAACTGCTCCATCATAACGAATGTTCAGCTCTCTGAGTTAAACTCCATCGTCACAAAGAATTTTCTGAGAGTGCTACCGTCTAGTTTTTATATGAAGTTCTTTCCTTTACTACCACAGGCCTCAAAGCGGTCCAAATCTCCACTTGCAGATTCTACAAAAAGAGTGTTTGCAAACTGCTCTATCAAAAGGAATGTTCAACTCTGGGAGTTGAAAGCAATCATCACAGAGCAGTTTCTGAGAATGCTTCTATGTCGTTTTTAGGAGAAGATATTTCCGTTTCCAACACAGTCCTCCAAGCCCGCTAAATATCCACTTGCACATTGTAGAAAAAGTGTGTCGAAGCTGCGCTATCAAAGGGAAAGTTCAACTCTGTGAGGTGAATGCAAACATCCCAAAGAAGTTTCTGAGAATACTTCCGTTTAGCTTTTAGGTGAAGATTATCCCGTTTCCAACGAAATCTTCAAAGAGGTCCAAATATCCCCCTGCGGATCCCACAGAAAGAGTGTTTCGAAACTGCTGTTTCAAAAGGAATCTTCAACTCTGTGAGTTGAATGCAATCATCACAAAGAAGTTTCTGACAATGCTTCTCTCTCGTCTTTCTGTGAAGGTAAAGGAAAAGGCTTTCAGGCCTTTTCCACCACAGGCCTGAACGTGCTCCAAATGTCCACTTGCAGATTCTGCCAAAAGAATATTTCAAAACTGCTCTATGAAAAGCAATGTTAAACTCTGTGGCTCGAACACAAACATCACAAAGCCGTTTCTGAGAATGCTTCAGTTTAGTTTTTCTGTGGAAATATTCCCGTTTCCAAAGAAATCTTCAAAGAGGTCCACGCATCCACTTACAGATTCTACAAAAAGACAGTTTCAAAACTGCTCAATCAAAAGGAGGGTTCAACTGTGTGACTTGAATGCAATCATCACTCAGAAGTTTCTGAGAATGCTTCTCTTTAGTTTTTACGTGAACATATACCCGTTTCGAACGAAGGCCAGCCAGTGGTCCAAATATCCACTTGCAGATTCTACAGAAAGAGTGTTTCGAACCTGAACTCTCAAAGGCAGGTTCATCTCTGCGAGTTCAATGCATTCATCATGAAGAACTTTCTCAGCGTGTTTGTGTTTAGTTATGGGAAATTATTCCCGTTTCCAACGAAATCCTCAGAGAGCTCCAAATATCCACCTGCAGATTCTACCAAAAGTGTATTTGGAAACTGCTCCATCAAAAGGCATGTTCAGCTCTGTGAGTGAAACTCCATCATCACAAAGAATATTCTGAGAATGCTTCCGTTTGCCTTTTATATGAAGTTCCTTCCTATACGACTGTAGGCCTCAAAGCAGTCCAAATCTCCATTTGCAGATTCTACAAAAAGAGTGATTCCAATCTGCTCTATCAATAGGATTGTTCAACTCCATGAGTTGAATGCCATCCTCACAAAGTAGTTTCTGAGAATGCTTCTATCTAGTTTTTATGTGAAGATATTTCCTTTTCCACCACAGGCCTCAAAGCCCTCCAAACGTCCACTTGCAGATTCTCGAAAAAGAGTGTTTCATAGCTGCTCTTTCAAAAGGAAAGTTCAACTCTGGGAGTTGAATACAAACATCACAAAGTAGTTTCCGAGAATGCTTCTGTTTAGTTCTTATGTGAAGATGATCCCGTTTCCAGTGAAATCTTCAAAGAGGTCCATATATCCCCTTGCAGATTCCAAAGAAAGAGGGTTTCAAAACTGCTCCATCAAAAGGATTGTTCAACTCTGTGAGTTGAATGCAGTCATCGCAGAAAACTTTCTGAGAATGCTTCTGTCTCGGTTTGATGTGAAGATATAGACGTTTCAAACGAAGGCTACAAAGTGGTCAAAATATACACTTGCAGATTCTACTACAAGGGTGATGCAAACCTCAACTATCAAAGGAAGGTTCAACTCTGTGAGATGAATGCAACCATCACAAAGAATGTTCTGAGTTTGCTTCCGTTCAGTTATGGGAAATTGATACCGTTTCCAACGAAATCCTCAGAGAGGTCCAAATATCCCCTTGCAGATTCTACAAAACGTGTGTTTGGAAACTGCTCCATCATAACGAATGTTCAGCTCTCTGAGTTAAACTCCATCGTCACAAAGAATTTTCTGAGAGTGCTACCGTCTAGTTTTTATATGAAGTTCTTTCCTTTACTACCACAGGCCTCAAAGCGGTCCAAATCTCCACTTGCATATTCTACAAAAAGAGTGTTTGCAAACTGCTCTATCAAAAGGAATGTTCAACTCTGGGAGTTGAAAGCAATCATCACAGAGCAGTTTCTGAGAATGCTTCTATGTCGTTTTTAGGAGAAGATATTTCCTTTTCCAACACAGTCCTCCAAGCCCGCTAAATAGCCACTTGCACATTGTAGAAAAAGTGTGTCAAAGCTGCGCTATCAAAGGGAAAGTTCAACTCTGTGAGGTGAATGCAAACATCCCAAAGAAGTTTCTGAGAATACTTCCGTTTAGCTTTTAGGTGAAGATTATCCCGTTTCCAACGAAACCTTCAAAGAGGTCCAAATATCCCCTTGCGGATCCCACAGAAAGAGTGTTTCGAAACTGCTGTTTCAAAAGGAATCTTCAACTCTGTGAGTTGAATGCAATCATCACAAAGAAGTTTCTGACAATGCTTCTCTCTCGTCTTTCTGTGAAGATAAAGGAAAAGGCTTTCAGGCCTTTGCCACCACAGGCCTCAAAGCGTTCCAAATGTCCACTTGCAGATTCTGCCAAAAGAATATTTCAAAACTGCTCTATGAAAAGCAATGTTAAACTCTGCGGCTCGAACACAAACATCACAAAGCGGTTTCTGAGAATGCTTCAGTTTAGTTTTTCTGTGGAAATATTCCCGTTTCCAAAGAAATCTTCAAAGAGGTCCACGTATCCACTTACAGATTCTACAAAAAGACAGTTTCAAAACTGCTCCATCAAAAGGAGGGTTCAACTGTGTGACTTGAATGCAATCATCACTCAGAAGTTTCTGAGAATGCTTCTCTTTAGTTCTTACGTGAACATATACCCGTTTCGAACGAAGGCCACCCAGTGGTCCAAATATCCACTTGCAGATTCTACAGAAAGAGTGTTTCGAACCTGAACTCTCAAAGGCAGGTTCATCTCTGCGAGTTCAATGCATTCATCATGAAGAACTTTCTCAGAGTGTTTGTGTTTAGGTATGGGAAATTATTCCCGTTTCCAACGAAATCCTCAGAGAGGTCCAAATATCCACCTGCAGATTCTACCAAAAGTGTATTTGGAAACTGCTCCATCAAAAGGCATGTTCAGCTCTGTGAGTGAAACTCCATCATCACAAAGAATATTCTGAGAATGCTTCCGTTTGCCTTTTATATGAAGTTCCTTCCTATACTACCGTAGGCCTCAAAGCAGTCCAAATCTCCATTTGCAGATTCTACAAAAAGAGTGATTCCAATCTGCTCTATCAATAGGATTGTTCAACTCCATGAGTTGAATGCCATCCTCACAAAGTCGTTTGTGAGAATGCTTCTATCTAGTTTTTATGTGAAGATATTTCCTTTTCCACCACAGGCCTCAAAGCCCTCCAAACGTCCACTTGCAGATTCTCGAAAAAGAGTGTTTCATAGCTGCTCTTTCGAAAGGAAAGTTCAACTCTGGGAGTTGAATACAAACATCACAAAGTAGTTTCCGAGAATGCTTCTGTTTAGTTCTTATGTGAAGATGATCCCGTTTCCAGTGAAATCTTCAAAGAGGTCCACATATCCCCTTGCAGATTCCAAAGAAAGAGGGTTTCAAAACTGCTCCATCAAAAGGATTGTTCAACTCTGTGAGTTGAATGCAGTCATCGCAGAAAACTTTCTGAGAATGCTTCTGTCTAGGTTTGAGGTGAAGATATAGACGTTTCAAACGAAGGCTACAAAGTGGTCAAAATATACACTTGCAGATTCTACTACAAGGGTGTTGCAAACCTCAACTATCAAAGGAAGGTTCAACTCTGTGAGTTGAATACAAACATCACAAAGAATGTTCTGAGTTTGCTTCCGTTCAGTTATGGGAAGTTGATCCCGTTTCCAACGAAATCCTCAGAGAGGTCCAAATATCCCCTTGCAGATTCTACAAAACGTGTGTTTGGAAACTGCTCCATCATAACGAATGTTCAGCTCTCTGAGTTAAACTCCATCGTCACAAAGAATTTTCTGAGAGTGCTACCGTCTGGTTTTTATATGAAGTTCTTTCCTTTACTACCACAGGCCTCAAAGCGGTCCAAATCTCCACTTGCAGATTCTACAAAAAGAGTGTTTGCAAACTGCTCTATCAAAAGGAATGTTCAACTCTGGGAGTTGAATGCAATCATCACAGAGCAGTTTCTGAGAATGCTTCTATGTCGTTTTTAGGAGAAGATATTTCCTTTTCCAACACAGTCCTCCAAGCCCGCTAAATATCCACTTGCACATTGTAGAAAAAGTGTGTCGAAGCTGCGCTATCAAAGGGAAAGTTCAACTCTGTGAGGTGAATGCAAACATCCCAAAGAAGTTTCTGAGAATGCTTCCGTTTAGCTTTTAGGTGAAGATTATCCCGTTTCCAACGAAACCTTCGAAGAGGTCCAAATATCCCCTTGCGGATCCCACAGAAAGAGTGTTTCGAAACTGCTGTTTCAAAAGGAATCTTCAACTCTGTGAGTTGAATGCAATCATCACAAAGATGTTTCTGACAATGCTTCTCTCTCGTCTTTCTGTGAAGATAAAGGAAAAGGCTTTCAGGCCTTTTCCACCACAGGCCTGAAAGCACTCCAAATGTCCACTTGCAGATTCTGCCAAAAGAATATTTCAAAACTGCTCTATGAAAAGCAATGTTAAACTCTGTGGCTCGAACACAAACATCACAAAGCAGTTTCTGAGAATGCTTCAGTTTAGTTTTTCTGTGGAAATATTCCCGTTTCCAAAGAAATCTTCAAAGAGGTCCACGTATCCACTTACAGATTCTACAAAAAGACAGTTTCAAAACTGCTCAATCAAAAGGAGGGTTCAACTGTGTGACTTGAATGCAATCATCACTCAGAAGTTTGCTGAGAATGCTTCTCTTTAGTTTTTACGTGAACATATACCCGTTTCGAACGAAGCCACCCAGTGGTCCAAATATCCACTTGCAGATTCTACAGAAAGAGTGTTTCGAACCTGAACTCTCAAAGGCAGGTTCATCTCTGCGAGTTAAATGCATTCATCATGAAGAACTTTCTCAGAGTGTTTGTGTTTAGTTATGGGAAATTATTCCCGTTTCCAACGAAATCCTCAGAGAGCTCCAAATATCCACCTGCAGATTCTACCAAAAGTGTATTTGGAAACTGCTCCATCAAAAGGCATGTTCAGCTCTGTGAGTGAAACTCCATCATCACAAAGAATATTCTGAGAATGCTTCCGTTTGCCTTTTATATGAAGTTCCTTCCTGTACTACTGTAGGCCTCAAAGCAGTCCAAATCTCCATTTGCAGATTCTACAAAAAGAGTGATTCCAATCTGCTCTATCAATAGGATTGTTCAACTCCATGAGTTGAATGCCATCCTCACAAAGTAGTTTCTGAGAATGCTTCTATCTGGTTTTTGTGTGAAGATATTTCCTTTTCCACCACAGGCCTCAAAGCCCTCCAAACGTCCACTTGCAGATTCTCGAAAAAGAGTGTTTCATAGCTGCTCTTTCAAAAGGAAAGTTCAACTCTGGGAGTTGAATACAAACATCACAAAATAGTTTCCGAGAATGCTTCTGTTTAGTTTTTATGTGAAGATGATCCCGTTTCCAGTGAAATCTTCATAGAGGTCCACATATCCCCTTGCAGATTCCAAAGAAAGAGGGTTTCAAAACTGCTCCATCAAAAGGATTGTTCAACTCTGTGAGTTGAATGCAGTCATCGCAGAAAACTTTCTGAGAATGCTTCTGTCTAGGTTTGATGTGAAGATATAGACGTTTCAAACGAAGGCTACAAAGTGGTCAAAATATACACTTGCAGATTCTACTACAAGGGTTTTGCAAACCTGAACTATCAAAGGAAGGTTCAACTCTGTGAGTTGAATACAAACATAACAAAGAATGTTCTGAGTTTGCTTCCGTTCAGTTATGGGAAGTTGATCCCGTTTCCAACGAAATCCTCAGAGAGGTCCAAATATCCCCTCGCAGATTCTACAAAACGTGTGTTTGGAAACTGCTCCATCATAACGAATGTTCAGCTCCCTGAGTTAAACTCCATCGTCACAAAGAATTTTCTGAGAGTGCTACCGTCTGGTTTTTATATGAAGTTCTTTCCTTCACTACCACAGGCCTCAAAGCGGTCCAAATCTCCACTTGCAGATTCTACAAAAAGAGTGTTTGCAAACTGCTCTATCCAAAGGAATGTTCAACTCTGGGAGTTGAATGCAATCATCACAGAGCAGTTTCTGAGAATGCTTCTATGTCGTTTTTAGGAGAAGATATTTCCTTTTCCAACACAGTCCTCCAAGCCCGCTAAATAGCCACTTGCACATTGTAGAAAAAGTGTGTCAAAGCTGCGCTATCAAAGGGAAAGTTCAACTCTGTGAGGTGAATGCAAACATCCCAAAGAAGTTTCTGAGAATGCTTCCGTTTAGCTTTTAGGTGAAGATTATCCCGTTTCCAACGAAACCTTCAAAGAGGTCCAAATATCCCCTTGCGGATCCCACAGAAAGAGTGTTTCGAAACTGCTGTTTCAAAAGGAATCTTCAACTCTGTGAGTTGAATGCAATCATCACAAAGAAGTTTCTGACAATGCTTCTCTCTCGTCTTTCTGTGAAGATAAAGGAAAAGGCTTTCAGGCCTTTTCCACCACAGGCCTGAAAGCGCTCCAAATGTCCACTTGCAGATTCTGCCAAAAGAATATTTCAAAACTGCTCTATGAAAAGCAATGTTAAACTCTGTGGCTCGAACACAAACATCACAAAGCAGTTTCTGAGAATGCTTCAGTTTAGTTTTTCTGTGGAAATATTCCCGTTTCCAAAGAAATCTTCAAAGAGGTCCACGTATCCACTTACAGATTCTACAAAAAGACAGTTTCAAAACTGCTCCATCAAAAGGAGGGTTCAACTGTGTGACTTGAATGCAATCATCACTCAGAAGTTTCTGAGAATGCTTCTCTTTAGTTTTTAGGTGAACATATACCCGTTTCGAACGAAGGCCACCCAGTGGTCCAAATATCCACTTGCAGATTCTACAGAAAGAGTGTTTCGAACCTGAACTCTCAAAGGCAGGTTCATCTCTGCGAGTTAAATGCATTCATCATGAAGAACTTTCTCAGAGTGTTTGTGTTTAGTTATGGGAAATTATTCCCGTTTCCAACGAAATCCTCAGAGAGCTCCAAATATCCACCTGCAGATTCTACCAAAAGTGTATTTGGAAACTGCTCCATCAAAAGGCATGTTCAGCTCTGTGAGTGAAACTCCATCATCACAAAGAATATTCTGAGAATGCTTCCGTTTGCCTTTTATATGAAGTTCCTTCCTGTACTACCGTAGGCCTCAAAGCAGTCCAAATCTCCATTTGCAGATTCTATAAAAAGAGTGATTCCAATCTGCTCTATCAATAGGATTGTTCAACTCCATGAGTTGAATGCCATCCTCACAAAGTAGTTTCTGAGAATGCTTCTATCTGGTTTTTGTGTGAAGATATTTCCTTTTCCACCACAGGCCTCAAAGCCCTCCAAACGTCCACTTGCAGATTCTCGAAAAAGAGTGTTTCATAGCTGCTCTTTCAAAAGGAAAGTTCAACTCTGGGAGTTGAATACAAACATCACAAAATAGTTTCCGAGAATGCTTCTGTTTAGTTTTTATGTGAAGATGATCCCGTTTCCAGTGAAATCTTCAAAGAGGTCCACATATCCCCTTGCAGATTCCAAAGAAAGAGGGTTTCAAAACTGCTCCATCAGAGGATTGTTCAACTCTGTGAGTTGAATGCAGTCATCGCAGAAAACTTTCTGAGAATGCTTCTGTCTAGGTTTGATGTGAAGATATAGACGTTTCAAATGAAGGCTACAAAGTGGTCAAAATATACACTTGCAGATTCTACTACAAGGGTGTTGCAAACCTGAACTATCAAAGGAAGGTTCAACTCTGTGAGTTGAATACAAACATCACAAAGAATGTTCTGAGTTTGCTTCCGTTCAGTTATGGGAAGTTGATCCCGTTTCCAACGAAATCCTCAGAGAGGTCCAAATATCCCCTTGCAGATTCTACAAAACGTGTGTTTGGAAACTGCTCCATCATAACGAATGTTCAGCTCCCTGAGTTAAACTCCATCGTCACAAAGAATTTTCTGAGAGTGCTACCGTCTGGTTTTTATATGAAGTTCTTTCCTTCACTACCACTGGCCTCAAAGCGGTCCAAATCTCCACTTGCAGATTCTACAAAAAGAGTGTTTGCAAACTGCTCTATCAAAAGGAATGTTCAACTCTGGGAGTTGAATGCAATCATCACAGAGCAGTTTCTGAGAATGCTTCTATGTCGTTTTTAGGAGAAGATATTTCCTTTTCCAACACAGTCCTCCAAGCCCGCTAAATAGCCACTTGCACATTGTAGAAAAAGTGTGTCAAAGCTGCGCTATCAAAGGGAAAGTTCAACTCTGTGAGGTGAATGCAAACATCCCAAAGAAGTTTGCTGAGAATGCTTCCGTTTAGCTTTTAGGTGAAGATTATCCCGTTTCCAACGAAACCTTCAAAGTAGGTCCAAATATCCCCTTGCGGATCCCACAGAAAGAGTGTTTCGAAACTGCTGTTTCAAAAGGAATCTTCAACTCTGTGAGTTGAATGCAATCATCACAAAGAAGTTTCTGACAATGCTTCTCTCTCGTCTTTCTGTGAAGATAAAGGAAAAGGCTTTCAGGCCTTTTCCACCACAGGCCTGAAAGCGCTCCAAATGTCCACTTGCAGATTCTGCCAAAAGAATATTTCAAAACTGCTCTATGAAAAGCAATGTTAAACTCTGTGGCTCGAACACAAACATCACAAAGCAGTTTCTGAGAATGCTTCAGTTTAGTTTTTCTGTGGAAATATTCCCGTTTCCAAAGAAATCTTCAAAGAGGTCCACGTATCCACTTACAGATTCTACAAAAAGACAGTTTCAAAACTGCTCCATCAAAAGGAGGGTTCAACTGTGTGACTTGAATGCAGTCATCACTCAGAAGTTTCTGAGAATGCTTCTCTTTAGTTTTTACGTGAACATATACCCGTTTCGAACGAAGGCCAGCCAGTGGTCCAAATATCCACTTGCAGATTCTACAGAAAGAGTGTTTCGAACCTGAACTCTCAAAGGCAGGTTCATCTCTGCGAGTTAAATGCATTCATCATGAAGAACTTTCTCAGAGTGTTTGTGTTTAGTTATGGGAAATTATTCCCGTTTCCAACGAAATCCTCCGACAGGTCCAAATATCCACCTGCAGATTCTACCAAAAGTGTATTTGGAAACTGCTCCATCAAAAGGCATGTTCAGCTCTGTGAGTGAAACTCCATCATCACAAAGAATATTCTGAGAATGCGTCCGTTTGCCTTTTATATGAAGTTCCTTCCTATACTACCGTAGGCCTCAAAGCAGTCCAAATCTCCCTTTGCAGATTCTACAAAAAGAGTGATTCCAATCTGCTCTATCAATAGGATTGTTCAACTCCATGAGTTGAATGCCATCCTCACAAAGTCGTTTCTGAGAATGCTTCTATCTAGTTTTTATGTGAAGATATTTCCTTTTCCACCACAGGCCTCAAAGCCCTCCAAACGTCCACTTGCAGATTCTCGAAAAAGAGTGTTTCATAGCTGCTCTTTCAAAAGGAAAGTTCAACTCTGGGAGTTGAATACAAACATCACAAAGTAGTTTCCGAGAATGCTTCTGTTTAGTTCTTATGTGAAGATGATCCCGTTTCCAGTGAAATCTTGAAAGAGGTCCACATATCCCCTTGCAGATTCCAAAGAAAGAGGGTTTCAAAACTGCTCCATCAAAAGGATTACTCAACTCTATGAGTTGTATGCAGTCATCGCAGAAAACTTTCTGAGAATGCTTCTGTCTAGGTTTGATGTGAAGATATAGACGTTTCAAACGAAGGCTACAAAGTGGTCAAAATATACACTTGCAGATTCTACTACAAGGGTGTTGCAAACCTGAACTATCAAAGGAAGGTTCAACTCTGTGAGTTGAATACAAACATCACAAAGAATGTTCTGAGTTTGCTTCCGTTCAGTTATGGGAAGTTGATCCCGTTTCCAACGAAATCCTCAGAGAGGTCCAAATATCCCCTTGCAGATTCTGCAAAACGTGTGTTTGGGAACTGCTCCATCATAACGAATGTTCAGCTCTCTGAGTTAAACTCCATCGTCACAAAGTTTTTTCTGAGAGTGCTACCGTCTAGTTTTTATATGAAGTTCTTTCCTTTACTACCACAGGCCTCAAAGCGGTCCAAATCTCCACTTGCAGATTCTACAAAAAGAGTGTTTGCAAACTGCTCTATCAAAAGGAATGTTCAACTCTGGGAGTTGAATGCAATCATCACAGAGCAGTTCCTGAGAATGCTTCTATGTCGTTTTTAGGAGAAGATATTTCCTTTTCCAACACAGTCCTCCAAGCCCGCTAAATATCCACTTGCACATTGTAGAAAAAGTGTGTCGAAGCTGCGCTATCAAAGGGAAAGTTCAACTCTGTGAGGTGAATGCAAACATCCCAAAGAAGTTTCTGAGAATGCTTCCGTTTAGCTTTTAGGTGAAGATTATCCCGTTTCCAACGAAATCTTCAAAGAGGTCCAAATATCCCCTTGCGGATCCCACAGAAAGAGTGTTTCGAAACTGCTGTTTCAAAAGGAATCTTCAACTCTGTGAGTTGAATGCAATCATCACAAAGAAGTTTCTGACAATGCTTCTCTCTCGTCTTTCTGTGAAGATAAAGGAAAAGACGTTCAGGCCTTTTCCACCACAGGCCTGAAAGCGCACCAAATGTCCACTTGCAGATTCTGCCAAAAGAATATTTCAAAACTGCTCTATGAAAAGCAATGTTAAACTCTGTGGCTCGAACACAAACATCACAAAGCAGTTTCTGGGAATGCTTCAGTTTAGTTTTTCTGTGGAAATATTCCCGTTTCCAAAGAAATCTTCAAAGAGGTCCACGCATCCACTTACAGATTCTACAAAAAGACAGTTTCAAAACTGCTCAAGCAAAAGGAGGGTTCAACTGTGTGACTTGAATGCAATCATCACTCAGAAGTTTCTGAGAATGCTTCTCTTTAGTTTTTACGTGAACATATACCCGTTTCGAACGAAGGCCAGCCAGTGGTCCAAATATCCACTTGCAGATTCTACAGAAAGAGTGTTTCGAACCTGAACTCTCAAAGGCAGGTTCATCTCTGCGAGTTCAATGCATTCATCATGAAGAACGTTCTCAGCGTGTTTGTGTTTAGTTATGGGAAATTATTCCCGTTTCCAACGAAATCCTCAGAGAGCTCCAAATATCCACCTGCAGATTCTACCAAAAGTGTATTTGGAAACTGCTCCATCAAAAGGCATGTTCAGCTCTGTGAGTGAAACTCCATCATCACAAAGAATATTCTGAGAATGCTTCCGTTTGCCTTTTATATGAAGTTCCTTCCTATACTACCGTAGGCCTCAAAGCAGTCCAAATCTCCATTTGCAGATTCTACAAAAAGAGTGATTCCAATCTGCTCTATCAATAGGATTGTTCAACTCCATGAGTTGAATGCCATCCTCACAAAGTCGTTTCTGAGAATGCTTCTATCTAGTTTTTATGTGAAGATATTTCCTTTTCCACCACAGGCCTCAAAGCCTTCCAAACGTCCACTTGCAGATTCTCGAAAAAGAGTGTTTCATAGCTGCTCTTTCAAAAGGAAAGTTCAACTCTGGGAGTTGAATACAAACATCACAAAGTAGTTTCCGAGAATGCTTCTGTTTAGTTTTTATGTGAAGATGATCCCGTTTCCAGTGAAATCTTCAAAGAGGTCCACATATCCCCTTGCAGATTCCAAAGAAAGAGGGTTTCAAAACTGCTCCATCAGAAGGATTGTTCAACTCTGTGAGTTGAATGCAGTCATCGCAGAAAACTTTCTGAGAATGCTTCTTTCTAGGTTTGATGTGAAGATATAGACGTTTCAAACGAAGGCTACAAAGTGGTCAAAATATACACTTGCAGATTCTACTACAAGGGTGTTGCAAACCTGAACTATCAAAGGAAGGTTCAACTCTGTGAGTTGAATACAAACATCACAAAGAATGTTCTGAGTTTGCTTCCGTTCAGTTATGGGAAGTTGATCCCGTTTCCAACGAAATCCTCAGAGAGGTCCAAATATCCCCTTGCAGATTCTACAAAACGTGTGTTTGGAAACTGCTCCATCATAACGAATGTTCAGCTCCCTGAGTTAAACTCCATCGTCACAAAGAATTTTCTGAGAGTGCTACCGTCTGGTTTTTATATGAAGTTCTTTCCTTCACTACCACAGGCCTCAAAGCGGTCCAAATCTCCACTTGCAGATTCTACAAAAAGAGTGTTTGCAAACTGCTCTATCAAAAGGAATGTTCAACTCTGGGAGTTGAATGCAATCATCACAGAGCAGTTTCTGAGAATGCTTCTATGTCGTTTTTAGGAGAAGATATTTCCTTTTCCAACACAGTCCTCCAAGCCCGCTAAATAGCCACTTGCACATTGTAGAAAAAGTGTGTCAAAGCTGCGCTATCAAAGGGAAAGTTCAACTCTGTGAGGTGAATGCAAACATCCCAAAGAAGTTTCTGAGAATGCTTCCGTTTAGCTTTTAGGTGAAGATTATCCCGTTTCCAACGAAACCTTCAAAGAGGTCCAAATATCCCCTTGCGGATCCCACAGAAAGAGTGTTTCGAAACTGCTGTTTCAAAAGGAATCTTCAACTCTGTGAGTTGAATGCAATCATCACAAAGAAGTTTCTGACAATGCTTCTCTCTCGTCTTTCTGTGAAGATAAAGGAAAAGGCTTTCAGGCCTTTGCCACCACAGGCCTGAAAGCGCTCCAAATGTCCACTTGCAGATTCTGCGAAAAGAATATTTCAAAACTGCTCTATGAAAAGCAATGTTAAACTCTGTGGCTCGAACACAAACATCACAAAGCAGTTTCTGAGAATGCTTCAGTTTAGTTTTTCTGTGGAAATATTCCCGTTTCCAAAGAAATCTTCAAAGAGGTCCACGCATCCACTTACAGATTCTACAAAAAGACAGTTTCAAAACTGCTCCATCAAAAGGAGGGTTCAACTGTGTGACTTGAATGCAATCATCACTCAGAAGTTTCTGAGAATGCTTCTCTTTAGTTTTTACGTGAACATATACCCGTTTCGAACGAAGGCCACCCAGTGGTCCAAATATCCACTTGCAGATTCTACAGAAAGAGTGTTTCGAACCTGAACTCTCAAAGGCAGGTTCATCTCTGCGAGTTAAATGCATTCATCATGAAGAACTTTCTCAGAGTGTTTGTGTTTAGTTATGGGAAATTATTCCCGTTTCCAACGAAATCCTCAGAGAGCTCCAAATATCCACCTGCAGATTCTACCAAAAGTGTATTTGGAAACTGCTCCATCAAAAGGCATGTTCAGCTCTGTGAGTGAAACTCCATCATCACAAAGAATATTCTGAGAATGCTTCCGTTTGCCTTTTATATGAAGTTCCTTCCTATACTACCGTAGGCCTCAAAGCAGTCCAAATCTCCATTTGCAGATTCTACAAAAAGAGTGATTCCAATCTGCTCTATCAATAGGATTGTTCAACTCCATGAGTTGAATGCCATCCTCACAAAGTCGTTTCTGAGAATGCTTCTATCTAGTTTTTATGTGAAGATATTTCCTTTTCCACCACAGGCCTCAAAGCCCTCCAAACGTCCACTTTCAGATTCTCGAAAAAGAGTGTTTCATAGCTGCTCTTTCAAAAGGAAAGTTCAACTCTGGGAGTTGAATACAAACATCACAAAGTAGTTTCCGAGAATGCTTTCTGTTTAGTTTTTATGTGAAGATGATCCCGTTTCCAGTGAAATCTTCAAAGAGGTCCACATATCCCCTTGCAGATTCCAAAGAAAGAGGGTTTCAAAACTGCTCCATCAGAAGGATTGTTCAACTCTGTGAGTTGAATGCAGTCATCGCAGAAAACTTTCTGAGAATGCTTCTGTCTAGGTTTGATGTGAAGGTATAGACGTTTCAAATGAAGGCTACAAAGTGGTCAAAATATACACTTGCAGATTCTACTACAAGGGTGTTGCAAACCTGAACTATCAAAGGAAGGTTCAACTCTGTGAGTTGAATACAAACATCACAAAGAATGTTCTGAGTTTGCTTCCGTTCAGTTATGGGAAGTTGATCCCGTTTCCAACGAAATCCTCAGAGAGGTCAAAATATCCCCTTGCAGATTCTACAAAACGTGTGTTTGGAAACTGCTCCATCATAACGAATGTTCAGCTCCCTGAGTTAAACTCCATCGTCACAAAGAATTTTCTGAGAGTGCTACCGTCTGGTTTTTATATGAAGTTCTTTCCTTCACTACCACAGGCCTCAAAGCGGTCCAAATCTCCACTTGCAGATTCTACAAAAAGAGTGTTTGCAAACTGCTCTATCAAAAGGAATGTTCAACTCTGGGAGTTGAATGCAATCATCACAGAGCAGTTTCTGAGAATGCTTCTATGTCGTTTTTAGGAGAAGATATTTCCTTTTCCAACACAGTCCTCCAAGCCCGCTAAATAGCCACTTGCACATTGTAGAAAAAGTGTGTCAAAGCTGCGCTATCAAAGGGAAAGTTCAACTCTGTGAGGTGAATGCAAACATCCCAAAGAAGTTTCTGAGAATGCTTCCGTTTAGCTTTTAGGTGAAGATTATCCCGTTTCCAACGAAACCTTCAAAGAGGTCCAAATATCCCCTTGCGGATCCCACAGAAAGAGTGTTTCGAAACTGCTGTTTCAAAAGGAATCTTCAACTCTGTGAGTTGAATGCAATCATCACAAAGAAGTTTCTGACAATGCTTCTCTCTCGTCTTTCTGTGAAGATAAAGGAAAAGGCTTTCAGGCCTTTGCCACCACAGGCCTGAAAGCGCTCCAAATGTCCACTTGCAGATTCTGCGAAAAGAATATTTCAAAACTGCTCTATGAAAAACAATGTTAACCTCTGTGGCTCGAACACAAACATCACAAAGCGGTTTCTGAGAATGCTTAAGTTTAGTTTTTCTGTGGAAATATTCCCGTTTCCAAAGAAATCTTCAAAGAGGTCCACGTATCCACTTACAGATTCTACAAAAAGACAGTTTCAAAACTGCTCCATCAAAAGGAGGGTTCAACTGTGTGACTTGAATGCAATCATCACTCAGAAGTTTCTGAGAATGCTTCTCTTTAGTTTTTACTGTGAACATATACCCGTTTCGAACGAAGGCCACCCAGTGGTCCAAATATCCACTTGCAGATTCTACAGAAAGAGTGTTTCGAACCTGAACTCTCAAAGGCAGGTTCATCTCTGCGAGTTAAATGCATTCATCATGAAGAACTTTCTCAGAGTGTTTGTGTTTAGTTATGGGAAATTATTCCCGTTTCCAACGAAATCCTCAGAGAGCTCCAAATATCCACCTGCAGATTCTACCAAAAGTGTATTTGGAAACTGCTCCATCAAAAGGCATGTTCAGCTCTGTGAGTGAAACTCCATCATCACAAAGAATATTCTGAGAATGCTTCCGTTTGCCTTTTATATGAAGTTCCTTCCTATACTACCGTAGGCCTCAAAGCAGTCCAAATCTCCATTTGCAGATTCTACAAAAAGAGTGATTCCAATCTGCTCTATCAATAGGATTGTTCAACTCCATGAGTTGAATGCCATCCTCACAAAGTCGTTTCTGAGAATGCTTCTATCTAGTTTTTATGTGAAGATATATCCTTTTCCACCACAGGCCTCAAAGCCCTCCAAACGTCCACTTGCAGATTCTCGAAAAAGAGTGTTTCATAGCTGCTCTTTCAAAAGGAAAGTTCAACTCTGGGAGTTGAATACAAACATCACCAAGTAGTTTCCGAGAATGCTTCTGTTTAGTTCTTATGTGAAGATGATCCCGTTTCCAGTGAAACCTTCAAAGAGGTCCACATATCCCCTTGCAGATTCCAAAGAAAGAGGGGTTCAAAACTGCTCCATCAAAAGGATTGTTCAACTCTGTGAGTTGAATGCAGTCATCGCAGAAAACTTTCTGAGAATGCTTCTGTCTAGGTTTGATGTGAAGATATAGACGTTTCAAACGAACGCTACAAAGTGGTCAAAATATACACTTGCAGATTCTACTACAAGGGTGATGCAAACCTGAACTATCAAAGGAAGGTTCAACTCTGTGAGTTGAATACAAACATCACAAAGAATGTTCTGAGTTTGCTTCCGTTCAGCTATGGGAAGTTGATCCCATTTCCAACGAAATCCTCAGAGAGGTCCAAATATCCCCTTGCAGATTCTACAAAACGTGTGTTTGGAAACTGCTCCATCATAACGAATGTTCAGCTCTCTGAGTTAAACTCCATCGTCACAAAGAATTTTCTGAGGGTGCTACCGTCTAGTTTTTATATGAAGTTCTTTCCTTTACTACCACAGGCCTCAAAGCGGTCCAAATCTCCACTTGCAGATTCTACAAAAACAGTGTTTGCAAACTGCTCTATCAAAAGGAATGTTCAACTCTGGGAGTTGAATGCAATCATCACAGAGCAGTTTCTGAGAATGCTTCTATGTCGTTTTTAGGAGAAGATATTTCCTTTTCCAACACAGTCCTCCAAGCCCGCTAAATATCCACTTGCACATTGTAGAAAAAGTGTGTCGAAGCTGCGCTATCAAAGGGAAAGTTCAACTCTGTGAGGTGAATGCAAACATCCCAAAGAAGTTTCTGAGAATGCTTCCCGTTTAGCTTTTAGGTGAGGATTATCCCGTTTCCAACGAAACCTTCAAAGAGGTCCAAATATCCCCTTGCGGATCCCACAGAAAGAGTGTTTCGAAACTGCTGTTTCAAAAGGAATCTTCAACTCTGTGAGTTGAATGCAATCATCACAAAGAAGTTTCTGACAATGCTTCTCTCTCGTCTTTCTGTGAAGATAAAGGAAAAGGCTTTCAGGCCTTTTCCACCACAGGCCTGAAAGCGCTCCAAATGTCCACTTGCAGATTCTGCCAAAAGAATATTTCAAAACTGCTCTATGAAAAGCAATGTTAAACTCTGTGGCTCGAACACAAACATCACAAAGCGGTTTCTGAGAATGCTTCAGTTTAGTTTTTCTGTGGAAATATTCCCGTTTCCAAAGAAATCTTCAAAGAGGTCCACGTATCCACTTACAGATTCTACAAAAAGACAGTTTCAAAACTGCTCCATCAAAAGGAGGGTTCTACTGTGTGACTTGAATGCAATCATCACTCACAAGTTTCTGAGAATGCTTCTCTTTAGTTTTTACGTGAACATATACCCGTTTCGAACGAAGGCCACACAGTGGTCCAAATATCCACTTGCAGATTCTACAGAAAGAGTGTTTCGAACCTGAACTCTCAAAGGCAGGTTCATCTCTGCGAGTTAAATGCATTCATCATGAAGAACTTTCTCAGAGTGTTTGTGTTTAGTTATGGGAAATTATTCCCGTTTCCAACGAAATCCTCAGAGAGCTCCAAATATCCACCTGCAGATTCTACCAAAAGTGTATTTGGAAACTGCTCCATCAAAAGGCATGTTCAGCTCTGTGAGTGAAACTCCATCATCACAAAGAATATTCTGAGAATGCTTCCGTTTGCCTTTTATATGAAGTTCCTTCCTATACGACCGTAGGCCTCAAAGCAGTCCAAATCTCCATTTGCAGATTCTACAAAAAGAGTGATTCCAATCTGCTCTATCAATAGGATTGTTCAACTCCATGAGTTGAATGCCATCCTCACAAAGTCGTTTCTGAGAATGCTTCTATCTAGTTTTTATGTGAAGATATTTCCTTTTCCACCACAGGCCTCAAAGCCCTCCAAACGTCCACTTGCAGATTCTCGAAAAAGAGTGTTTCATAGCTGCTCTTTCAAAAGGAAAGTTCAACTCTGGGAGTTGAATACAAACATCACAAAGTAGTTTCCGAGAATGCTTCTGTTTAGTTTTTATGTGAAGATGATCCCGTTTCCAGTGAAATCTTCAAAGAGGTCCACATATCCCCTTGCAGATTCCAAAGAAAGAGGGTTTCAAAACTGCTCCATCAGAAGGATTGTTCAACTCTGTGAGTTGAATGCAGTCATCGCAGAAAACTTTCTGAGAATGCTTCTGTCTAGGTTTGATGTGAAGATATAGACGTTTCAAACGAAGGCTACAAAGTGGTCAAAATATACACTTGCAGATTCTACTACAAGGGTGTTGCAAACCTGAACTATCAAAGGAAGGTTCAACTCTGTGAGTTGAATACAAACATCACAAAGAATGTTCTGAGTTTGCTTCCGTTCAGTTATGGGAAGTTGATCCCTTTTCCAACGAAATCCTCAGAGAGGTCCAAATATCCCCTCGCAGATTCTACAAAACGTGTGTTTGGAAACTGCTCCATCATAACGAATGTTCAGCTCCCTGAGTTAAACTCCATCGTCACAAAGAATTTTCTGAGAGTGCTACCGTCTGGTTTTTATATGAAGTTCTTTCCTTCACTACCACAGGCCTCAAAGCGGTCCAAATCTCCACTTGCAGATTCTACAAAAAGAGTGTTTGCAAACTGCTCTATCAAAAGGAATGTTCAACTCTGGGAGTTGAATGCAATCATCACAGAGCAGTTTCTGAGAATGCTTCTATGTCGTTTTTAGGAGAAGATATTTCCTTTTCCAACACAGTCCTCCAAGCCCGCTAAATAGCCACTTGCACATTGTAGAAAAAGTGTGTCAAAGCTGCGCTATCAAAGGGAAAGTTCAACTCTGTGAGGTGAATGCAAACATCCCAAAGAAGTTTCTGAGAATGCTTCCGTTTAGCTTTTAGGTGAAGATTATCCCGTTTCCAACGAAACCTTCAAAGAGGTGCAAATATCCCCTTGCGGATCCCACAGAAAGAGTGTTTCGAAACTGCTGTTTCAAAAGGAATCTTCAACTCTGTGAGTTGAATGCAATCATCACAAAGAAGTTTCTGACAATGCTTCTCTCTCGTCTTTCTGTGAAGATAAAGAAAAGGCTTTCAGGCCTTTTCCACCACAGGCCTGAAAGCGCTCCAAATGTCCACTTGCAGATTCTGCGAAAAGAATATTTCAAAACTGCTCTATGAAAAGCAATGTTAAACTCTGTGGCTCGAACACAAACATCACAAAGCAGTTTCTGAGAATGCTTCAGTTTAGTTTTTCTGTGGAAATATTCCCGTTTCCAAAGAAATCTTCAAAGAGGTCCACGTATCCACTTACAGATTCTACAAAAAGACAGTTTCAAAACTGCTCCATCAAAAGGAGGGTTCAACTGTGTGACTTGAATGCAATCATCACTCAGAAGTTTCTGAGAATGCTTCTCTTTAGTTTTTACGTGAACATATACCCGTTTCGAACGAAGGCCACCCAGTGGTCCAAATATCCACTTGCAGATTATACAGAAAGAGTGTTTCGAACCTGAACTCTCAAAGGCAGGTTCATCTCTGCGAGTTAAATGCATTCATCATGAAGAACTTTCTCAGAGTGTTTGTGTTTAGTTATGGGAAATTATTCCCGTTTCCAACGAAATCCTCAGAGAGGTCCAAATATCCACCTGCAGATTCTACCAAAAGTGTATTTGGAAACTGCTCCATCAAAAGGCATGTTCAGCTCTGTGAGTGAAACTCCATCATCACAAAGAATATTCTGAGAATGCTTCCGTTTGCCTTTTATATGAAGTTCCTTCCTATACGACCGTAGGCCTCAAAGCAGTCCAAATCTCCATTTGCAGATTCTACAAAAAGAGTGATTCCAATCTGCTCTATCAATAGGATTGTTCAACTCCATGAGTTGAATGCCATCCTCACAAAGTCGTTTCTGAGAATGCTTCTATCTAGTTTTTATGTGAAGATATTTCCTTTTCCACCACAGGCCTCAAAGCCCTCCAAACGTCCACTTGCAGATTCTCGAAAAAGAGTGTTTCATAGCTGCTCTTTCAAAAGGAAAGTTCAACTCTGGGAGTTGAATACAAACATCACAAAGTAGTTTCCGAGAATGCTTCTGTTTAGTTTTTATGTGAAGATGATCCCGTTTCCAGTGAAATCTTCAAAGAGGTCCACATATCCCCTTGCAGATTCCAAAGAAAGAGGGTTTCAAAACTGCTCCATCAGAAGGATTGTTCAACTCTGTGAGTTGAATGCAGTCATCGCAGAAAACTTTCTGAGAATGCTTCTGTCTAGGTTTGATGTGAAGATATAGACGTTTCAAACGAAGGCTACAAAGTGGTCAAAATATACACTTGCAGATTCTACTACAAGGGTGTTGCAAACCTGAACTATCAAAGGAAGGTTCAACTCTGTGAGTTGAATACAAACATCACAAAGAATGTTCTGAGTTTGCTTCCGTTCAGTTATGGGAAGTTGATCCCGTTTCCAACGAAATACTCAGAGAGGTCCAAATATCCCCTCGCAGATTCTACAAAACGTGTGTTTGGAAACTGCTCCATCATAACGAATGTTCAGCTCCCTGAGTTAAACTCCATCGTCACAAAGAATTTTCTGAGAGTGCTACCGTCTGGTTTTTATATGAAGTTCTTTCCTTCACTATCACAGGCCTCAAAGCGGTCCAAATCTCCACTTGCAGATTCTACAAAAAGAGTGTTTGCAAACTGCTCTATCAAAAGGAATGTTCAACTCTGGGAGTTGAATGCAATCATCACAGAGCAGTTTCTGAGAATGCTTCTATGTCGTTTTTAGGAGAAGATATTTCCTTTTCCAACACAGTCCTCCAAGCCCGCTAAATAGCCACTTGCACATTGTAGAAAAAGTGTGTCGAAGCTGCGCTATCAAAGGGAAAGTTCAACTCTGTGAGGTGAATGCAAACATCCCAAAGAAGTTTCTGAGAATGCTTCCGTTTAGCTTTAAGTGAAGATTATCCCGTTTCCAACGAAATCTTCAAAGAGGTCCAAATATCCCCTTGCGGATCCCACAGAAAGAGTGTTTCGAAACTGCTGTTTCAAAAGGAATCTTCAACTCTGTGAGTTGAATGCAATCATCACAAAGAAGTTTCTGACAATGCTTCTCTCTCGTCTTTCTGTGAAGATAAAGGAAAAGGCTTTCAGGCCATTTCCACCACAGGCCTGAAAGCGCTCCAAATGTCCACTTGCAGATTCTGCCAAAAGAATATTTCAAAACTGCTCTATGAAAAGCAATGTTAAACTCTGCGGCTCGAACACAAACATCACAAAGCAGTTTCTGAGAATGCTTCAGTTTAGTTTTTCTGTGGAAATATTCCCGTTTCCAAAGAAATCTTCAAAGAGGTCCACGCATCCACTTACAGATTCTACAAAAAGACAGTTTCAAAACTGCTCAATCAAAAGGAGGGTTCAACTGTGTGACTTGAATGCATTCATCACTCAGAAGTTTCTGAGAACGCTTCTCTTTAGTTTTTACGTGAACATATACCCGTTTCGAACGAAGGCCAGCCAGTGGTCCAAATATCCACTTGCAGATTCTACAGAAAGAGTGTTTCGAACCTGAACTCTCAAAGGCAGGTTCATCTCTGCGAGTTAAATGCATTCATCATGAAGAACTTTCTCAGCGTGTTTGTGTTTAGTTATGGGAAATTATTCCCGTTTCCAACGAAATCCTCAGAGAGCTCCAAATATCCACCTGCAGATTCTACCAAAAGTGTATTTGGAAACTGCTCCATCAAAAGGCATGTTCAGCTCTGTGAGTGAAACTCCATCATCACAAAGAATATTCTGAGAATGCTTCCGTTTGCCTTTTATATGAAGTTCCTTCCTATACTACCGTAGGCCTCAAAGCAGTCCAAATCTCCATTTGCAGATTCTACAAAAAGAGTGATTCCAATCTGCTCTATCAATAGGACTGTTCAACTCCATGAGTTGAATGCCATCCTCACAAAGTAGTTTCTGAGAATGCTTCTATCTAGTTTTTATGTGAAGATATTTCCTTTTCCACCACAGGCCTCAAAGCCCTCCAAACGTCCACTTGCAGATTCTCGAAAAAGAGTGTTTCATAGCTGCTCTTTCAAAAGGAAAGTTCAACTCTGGGAGTTGAATACAAACATCACAAAGTAGTTTCCGAGAATGCTTCTGTTTAGTTTTTATGTGAAGATGATCCCGTTTCCAGTGAAATCTTCAAAGAGGTCCACATATCCCCTTGCAGATTCCAAAGAAAGAGGGTTTCAAAACTGCTCCATCAGAAGGATTGTTCAACTCTGTGAGTTGAATGCAGTCATCGCAGAAAACTTTCTGAGAATGCTTCTGTCTAGGTTTGATGTGAAGATATAGACGTTTCAAACGAAGGCTACAAAGTGGTCAAAATATACACTTGCAGATTCTACTACAAGGGTGTTGCAAACCTGAACTATCAAAGGAAGGTTCAACTCTGTGAGTTGAATACAAACATCACAAAGAATGTTCTGAGTTTGCTTCCGTTCAGTTATGGGAAGTTGATCCCGTTTCCAACGAAATCCTCAGAGAGGTCCAAATATCCCCTTGCAGATTCTACAAAACGTGTGTTTGGAAACTGCTCCATCATAACGAATGTTCAGCTCCCTGAGTTAAACTCCATCGTCACAAAGAATTTTCTGAGAGTGCTACCGTCTGGTTTTTATATGAAGTTCTTTCCTTCACTACCACAGGCCTCAAAGCGGTCCAAATCTCCACTTGCAGATTCTACAAAAAGAGAGTTTGCAAACTGCTCTATCAAAAGGAATGTTCAACTCTGGGAGTTGAATGCAATCATCACAGAGCAGTTTCTGAGAATGCTTCTATGTCGTTTTTAGGAGAAGATATTTCCTTTTCCAACACAGTCCTCCAAGCCCGCTAAATAGCCACTTGCACATTGTAGAAAAAGTGTGTCAAAGCTGCGCTATCAAAGGGAAAGTTCAACTCTGTGAGGTGAATGCAAACATCCCAAAGAAGTTTCTGAGAATGCTTCCGTTTAGCTTTTAGGTGAAGATTATCCCGTTTCCAACGAAACCTTCCAAGAGGTCCAAATATCCCCTTGCGGATCCCACAGAAAGAGTGTTTCGAAACTGCTGTTTCAAAAGGAATCTTCAACTCTGTGAGTTGAATGCAATCATCACAAAGAAGTTTCTGACAATGCTTCTCTCTCGTCTTTCTGTGAAGATAAAGGAAAAGGCTTTCAGGCCCTTTTCCACCACAGGCCTGAAAGCGCTCCAAATGTCCACTTGCAGATTCTGCGAAAAGAATATTTCAAAACTGCTCTATGAAAAGCAATGTTAAACTCTGTGGCTCGAACACAAACATCACAAAGCGGTTTCTGAGAATGCTTCAGTTTAGTTTTTCTGTGGAAATATTCCCGTTTCCAAAGAAATCTTCAAAGAGGTCCACGTATCCACTTACAGATTCTACAAAAAGACAGTTTCAAAACTGCTCCATCAAAAGGAGGGTTCAACCGTGTGACTTGAATGCAATCATCACTCAGAAGTTTCTGAGAATGCTTCTCTTTAGTTTTTACGTGAACATATACCCGTTTCGAACGAAGGCCACCCAGTGGTCCAAATATCCACTTGCAGATTATACAGAAAGAGTGTTTCGAACCTGAACTCTCAAAGGCAGGTTCATCTCTGCGAGTTAAATGCATTCATCATGAAGAACTTTCTCAGAGTGTTTGTGTTTAGTTATGGGAAATTATTCCCGTTTCCAATGAAATCCTCAGAGAGCTCCAAATATCCACCTGCAGATTCTACCAAAAGTGTATTTGGAAACTGCTCCATCAAAAGGCATGTTCAGCTCTGTGAGTGAAACTCCATCATCACAAAGAACATTCTGAGAATGCTTCCGTTTGCCTTTTATATGAAGTTCCTTCCTATACGACCGTAGGCCTCAAAGCAGTCCAAATCTCCATTTGCAGATTCTACAAAAAGAGTGATTCCAATCTGCTCTATCAATAGGATTGTTCAACTCCATGAGTTGAATGCCATCCTCACAAAGTCGTTTCTGAGAATGCTTCTATCTAGTTTTTATGTGAAGATATTTCCTTTTCCACCACAGGCCTCAAAGCCCTCCAAACGTCCACTTGCAGATTCTCGAAAAAGAGTGTTTCATAGCTGCTCTTTCAAAAGGAAAGTTCAACTCTGGGAGTTGAATACAAACATCACAAAGTAGTTTCCGAGAATGCTTCTGTTTAGTTTTTATGTGAAGATGATCCCGTTTCCAGTGAAATCTTCAAAGAGGTCCACATATCCCCTTGCAGATTCCAAAGAAAGAGGGTTTCAAAACTGCTCCATCAGAAGGATTGTTCAACTCTGTGAGTTGAATGCAGTCATCGCAGAAAACTTTCTGAGAATGCTTCTGTCTAGGTTTGATGTGAAGATATAGACGTTTCAAACGAAGGCTACAAAGTGGTCAAAATATACACTTGCAGATTCTACTACAAGGGTGTTACAAACCTGAACTATCAAAGGATGGTTCAACTCTGTGAGTTGAATACAAACATCACAAAGAATGTTCTGAGTTTGCTTCCGTTCAGTTATGGGAAGTTGATCCCGTTTCCAACGAAATCCTCAGAGAGGTCCAAATATCCCCTCGCAGATTCTACAAAACGTGTGTTTGGAAACTGCTCCATCATAACGAATGTTCAGCTCCCTGAGTTAAACTCCATCGTCACAAAGAATTTTCTGAGAGTGCTACCGTCTGGTTTTTATATGAAGTTCTTTCCTTCACTACCACAGGCCTCAAAGCGGTCCAAATCTCCACTTGCAGATTCTACAAAAAGAGTGTTTGCAAACTGCTCTATCAAAAGGAATGTTCAACTCTGGGAGTTGAATGCAATCATCACAGAGCAGTTTCTGAGAATGCTTCTATGTCGTTTTTAGGAGAAGATATTTCCTTTTCCAACACAGTCCTCCAAGCCCGCTAAATAGCCACTTGCACATTGTAGAAAAAGTGTGTCAAAGCTGCGCTATCAAAGGGAAAGTTCAACTCTGTCAGGTGAATGCAAACATCCCAAAGAAGTTTCTGAGAATGCTTCCGTTTAGCTTTTAGGTGAAGATTATCCCGTTTCCAACGAAACCTTCAAAGAGGTCCAAATATCCCCTTGCGGATCCCACAGAAAGAGTGTTTCGAAACTGCTGTTTCAAAAGGAATCTTCAACTCTGTGAGTTGAATGCAATCATCACAAAGAAGTTTCTGACAATGCTTCTCTCTCGTCTTTCTGTGAAGATAAAGGAAAAGGCTTTCAGGCCTTTTCCACCACAGGCCTGAA
Organism: Homo sapiens; assembly: GCF_000001405.40. NCBI lineage: Eukaryota > Metazoa > Chordata > Mammalia > Primates > Hominidae > Homo > Homo sapiens. The sequence goes on along the minus strand of NC_000023.11, from coordinate 59,716,158 downwards.
AGCGCTCCAAATGTCCACTTGCAGATTCTGCGAAAAGAATATTTCAAAACTGCTCTATGAAAAGCAATGTTAAACTCTGTGGCTCGAACACAAACATCACAAAGCGGTTTCTGAGAATGCTTCAGTTTAGTTTTTCTGTGGAAATATTCCCGTTTCCAAAGAAATCTTCAAAGAGGTCCACGTATCCACTTACAGATTCTACAAAAAGACAGTTTCAAAACTGCTCCATCAAAAGGAGGGTTCAACTGTGTGACTTGAATGCAATCATCACTCAGAAGTTTCTGAGAATGCTTCTCTTTAGTTTTTACGTGAACATATACCCGTTTCGAACGAAGGCCACCCAGTGGTCCAAATATCCACTTGCAGATTCTACAGAAAGAGTGTTTCGAACCTGAACTCTCAAAGGCAGGTTCATCTCTGCGAGTTAAAAGCATTCATCATGAAGAACTTTCTCAGAGTGTTTGTGTTTAGTTATGGGAAATTATTCCCGTTTCCAACGAAATCCTCAGAGAGCTCCAAATATCCACCTGCAGATTCTACCAAAAGTGTATTTGGAAACTGCTCCATCAAAAGGCATGTTCAGCTCTGTGAGTGAAACTCCATCATCACAAAGAATATTCTGAGAATGCTTCCGTTTGCCTTTTATATGAAGTTCCTTCCTATACTACCGTAGGCCTCAAAGCAGTCCAAATCTCCGTTTGCAGATTCTACAAAAAGAGTGATTCCAATCTGCTCTATCAATAGGATTGTTCAACTCCATGAGTTGAATGCCATCCTCACAAAGTAGTTTCTGAGAATGCTTCTATCTAGTTTTAATGTGAAGATATTTCCTTTTCCACCACAGGCCTCAAAGCCCTCCAAACGTCCACTTGCAGATTCTCGAAAAAGAGTGTTTCATAGCTGCTCTTTCAAAAGGAAAGTTCAACTCTGGGAGTTGAATACAAACATCACAAAGTAGTTTCCGAGAATGCTTCTGTTTAGTTTTTATGTGAAGATGATCCCGTTTCCAGTGAAATCTTCAAAGAGGTCCACATATCCCCTTGCAGATTCCAAAGAAAGAGGGTTTCAAAACTGCTCCATCAGAAGGATTGTTCAACTCTGTGAGTGGAATGCAGTCATCGCAGAAAACTTTCTGAGAATGCTTCTGTCTAGGTTTGATGTGAAGATATAGACGTTTCAAACGAAGGCTACAAAGTGGTCAAAATATACACTTGCAGATTCTACTACAAGGGTGTTGCAAACCTGAACTATCAAAGGAAGGTTCAACTCTGTGAGTTGAATACAAACATCACAAAGAATGTTCTGAGTTTGCTTCCGTTCAGTTATGGGAAGTTGATCCCGTTTCCAACGAAATCCTCAGAGAGGTCTAAATATCCCCTTGCAGATTCTACAAAACGTGTGTTTGGAAACTGCTCCATCATAACGAATGTTCAGCTCCCTGAGTTAAACTCCATCGTCACAAAGAATTTTCTGAGAGTGCTACCGTCTGGTTTTTATATGAAGTTCTTTCCTTCACTACCACAGGCCTCAAAGCGGTCCAAATCTCCACTTGCAGATTCTACAAAAAGAGTGTTTGCAAACTGCTCTATCAAAAGGAATGTTCAACTCTGGGAGTTGAATGCAATCATCACAGAGCAGTTTCTGAGAATGCTTCTATGTCGTTTTTAGGAGAAGATATTTCCTTTTCCAACACAATCCTCCAAGCCCGCTAAATAGCCACTTGCACATTGTAGAAAAAGTGTGTCAAAGCTGCGCTATCAAAGGGAAAGTTCAACTCTGTGAGGTGAATGCAAACATCCCAAAGAAGTTTCTGAGAATGCTTCCGTTTAGCTTTTAGGTGAAGATTATCCCGTTTCCAACGAAACCTTCAAAGAGGTCCAAATATCCCCTTGCGGATCCCACAGAAAGAGTGTTTCGAAACTGCTGTTTCAAAAGGAATCTTCAACTCTGTGAGTTGAATGCAATCATCACAAAGAAGTTTCTGACAATGCTTCTCTCTCGTCTTTCTGTGAAAATAAAGGAAAAGGCTTTCAGGCCTTTTCCACCACAGGCCTGAAAGCGCTCCAAATGTCCACTTGCAGATTCTGCCAAAAGAATATTTCAAAACTGCTCTATGAAAAGCATTGTTAAACTCTGTGGCTCGAACACAAACATCACAAAGCAGTTTCTGAGAATGCTTCAGTTTAGTTTTTCTGTGGAAATATTCCCGTTTCCAAAGAAATCTTCAAAGAGGTCCACGTATCCACTTACAGATTCTACAGAAAGACAGTTTCAAAACTGCTCCATCAAAAGGAGGGTTCAACTGTGTGAATTGAATGCAATCATCACTCAGAAGTTTCTGAGAATGCTTCTCTTTAGTTTTTACGTGAACATATACCCGTTTCGAACGAAGGCCACCCAGTGGTCCAAATATCCACTTGCAGATTCTACAGAAAGAGTGTTTCGAACCTGAACTCTCAAAGGCAGGTTCATCTCTGCGAGTTAAATGCATTCATCATGAAGAACTTTCTCAGAGTGTTTGTGTTTAGTTATGGGAAATTATTCCCGTTTCCAACGAAATCCTCAGAGAGCTCCAAATATCCACCTGCAGATTCTACCAAAAGTGTATTTGGAAACTGCTCCATCAAAAGGCATGTTCAGCTCTGTGAGTGAAACTCCATCATCACAAAGAATATTCTGAGAATGCTTCCGTTTGCCTTTTATATGAAGTTCCTTCCTGTACTACCGTAGGCCTCAAAGCAGTCCAAATCTCCATTTGCAGATTCTATAAAAAGAGTGATTCCAATCTGCTCTATCAATAGGATTGTTCAACTCCATGAGTTGAATGCCATCCTCACAAAGTAGTTTCTGAGAATGCTTCTATCTGGTTTTTGTGTGAAGATATTTCCTTTTCCACCACAGGCCTCAAAGCCCTCCAAACGTCCACTTGCAGATTCTCGAAAAAGAGTGTTTCATAGCTGCTCTTTCAAAAGGAAAGTTCAACTCTGGGAGTTGAATACAAACATCACAAAATAGTTTCCGAGAATGCTTCAGTTTAGTTTTTATGTGAAGATGATCCCGTTTCCAGTGAAATCTTCAAAGAGGTCCACATATCCCCTTGCAGATTCCAAAGAAAGAGGGTTTCAAAACTGCTCCATCAGAAGGATTGTTCAACTCTGTGAGTTGAATGCAGTCATCGCAGAAAACTTTCTGAGAATGCTTCTGTCTAGGTTTGATGTGAAGATATAGACGTTTCAAACGAAGGCTACAAAGTGGTCAAAATATACACTTGCAGATTCTACTACAAGGGTGTTGCAAACCTGAACTATCAAAGGAAGGTTCAACTCTGTGAGTTGAATACAAACATCACAAAGAATGTTCTGAGTTTGCTTCCGTTCAGTTATGGGAAGTTGATCCCGTTTCCAACGAAATCCTCAGAGAGGTCCAAATATCCCCTTGCAGATTCTACAAAACGTGTGTTTGGAAACTGCTCCATCATAACGAATGTTCAGCTCCCTGAGTTAAACTCCATCGTCACAAAGAATTTTCTGAGAGTGCTACCGTCTGGTTTTTATATGAAGTTCTTTCCTTCACTACCACAGGCCTCAAAGCGGTCCAAATCTCCACTTGCAGATTCTACAAAAAGAGTGTTTGCAAACTGCTCTATCAAAAGGAATGTTCAACTCTGGGAGTTGAATGCAATCATCACAGAGCAGTTTCTGAGAATGCTTCTATGTCGTTTTTAGGAGAAGATATTTCCTTTTCCAACACAGTCCTCCACGCCCGCTAAATATCCACTTGCACATTGTAGAAAAAGTGTGTCAAAGCTGCGCTATCAAAGGGAAAGTTCAACTCTGTGAGGTGAATGCAAACATCCCAAAGAAGTTTCTGAGAGTGCTTCCGTTTAGCTTTTAGGTGAAGATTATCCCGTTTCCAACGAAACCTTCAAAGAGGTCCAAATATCCCCTTGCGGATCCCACAGAAAGAGTGTTTCGAAACTGCTGTTTCAAAAGGAATCTTCAACTCTGTGAGTTGAATGCAATCATCACAAAGAAGTTTCTGACAATGCTTCTCTCTCGTCTTTCTGTGAAGATAAAGGAAAAGGCTTTCAGGCCTTTTCAACCACAGGCCTGAAAGCGCTCCAAATGTCCACTTGCAGATTCTGCCAAAAGAATATTTCAAAACTGCTCTATGAAAAGCAATGTTAAACTCTGTGGCTCGAACACAAACATCACATAGCAGTTTCTGAGAATGCTTCAGTTTAGTTTTTCTGTGGAAATATTCCCGTTTCCAAAGAAATCTTCAAAGAGGTCCACGTATCCACTTACAGATTCTACAAAAAGACAGTTTCAAAACTGCTCCATCAAAAGGAGGGTTCAACTGTGTGACTTGAATGCAATCATCACTCAGAAGTTTCTGAGAATGCTTCTCTTTAGTTTTTACGTGAACATATACCCGTTTCGAACGAAGGCCAGCCAGTGGTCCAAATATCCACTTGCAGATTCTACAGAAAGAGTGTTTCGAACCTGAACTCTCAAAGGCAGGTTCATCTCTGCGAGTTAAATGCATTCATCATGAAGAACTTTCTCAGAGTGTTTGTGTTTAGTTATGGGAAATTATTCCCGTTTCCAACGAAATCCTCAGAGAGCTCCAAATATCCACCTGCAGATTCTACCAAAAGTGTATTTGGAAACTGCTCCATCAAAAGGCATGTTCAGCTCTGTGAGTGAAACTCCATCATCACAAAGAATATTCTGAGAATGCTTCCGTTTGCCTTTTATATGAAGTTCCTTCCTATACTACCTTAGGCCTCAAAGCAGTCCAAATCTCCATTTGCAGATTCTACAAAAAGAGTGATTCCAATCTGCTCTATCAATAGGATTGTTCAACTCCATGAGTTGAATGCCATCCTCACAAAGTCGTTTCTGAGAATGCTTCTATCTAGTTTTTATGTGAAGATATTTCCTTTTCCACCACAGGCCTCAAAGCCCTCCAAACGTCCACTTGCAGATTCTCGAAAAAGAGTGTTTCATAGCTGCTCTTTCAAAAGGAAAGTTCAACTCTGGGAGTTGAATACAAACATCACAAAGTAGTTTCCGAGAATGCTTCTGTTTAGTTTTTATGTGAAGATGATCGATCCCGTTTCCAGTGAAATCTTCAAAGAGGTCCACATATCCCCTTGCAGATTCCAAAGAAAGAGGGTTTCAAAACTGCTCCATCAGAAGGATTGTTCAACTCTGTGAGTTGAATGCAGTCATCGCAGAAAACTTTCTGAGAATGCTTCTGTCTAGGTTTGATGTGAAGATATAGACGTTTCAAACGAAGGCTACAAAGTGGTCAAAATATACACTTGCAGATTCTACTACAAGGGTGTTGCAAACCTGAACTATCAAAGGAAGGTTCAACTCTGTGAGTTGAATACAAACATCACAAAGAATGTTCTGAGTTTGCTTCCGTTCAGTTATGGGAAGTTGATCCCGTTTCCAACGAAATCCTCAGAGAGGTCCAAATATCCCCTCGCAGATTCTACAAAACGTGTGTTTGGAAACTGCTCCATCATAACGAATGTTCAGCTCCCTGAGTTAAACTCCATCGTCACAAAGAATTTTCTGAGAGTGCTACCGTCTGGTTTTTATATGAAGTTCTTTCCTTCACTACCACAGGCCTCAAAGCGGTCCAAATCTCCACTTGCAGATTCTACAAAAAGAGTGTTTGCAAACTGCTCTATCAAAAGGAATGTTCAACTCTGGGAGTTGAATGCAATCATCACAGAGCAGTTTCTGAGAATGCTTCTATGTCGTTTTTAGGAGAAGATATTTCCTTTTCCAACACAGTCCTCCAAGCCCGCTAAATAGCCACTTGCACATTGTAGAAAAAGTGTGTCAAAGCTGCGCTATCAAAGGGAAAGTTCAACTCTGTGAGGTGAATGCAAACATCCCAAAGAAGTTTCTGAGAATGCTTCCGTTTAGCTTTTAGGTGAAGATTATCCCGTTTCCAACGAAACCTTCAAAGAGGTCCAAATATCCCCTTGCGGATCCCACAGAAAGAGTGTTTCGAAACTGCTGTTTCAAAAGGAATCTTCAACTCTGTGAGTTGAATGCAATCATCACAAAGAAGTTTCTGACAATGCTTCTCTCTCGTCTTTCTGTGAAGATTAAGGAAAAGGCTTTCAGGCCTTTTCCACCACAGGCCTGAAAGGGCTCCAAATGTCCACTTGCAGATTCTGCCAAAAGAATATTTCAAAACTGCTCTATGAAAAGCAATGTTAAACTCTGTGGCTCGAACACAAAGATCACAAAGCAGTTTCTGAGAATGCTTCAGTTTAGTTTTTCTGTGGAAATATTCCCGTTTCCAAAGAAATCTTCAAAGAGGTCCACGCATCCACTTACAGATTCTACAAAAAGACAGTTTCAAAACTGCTCAATCAAAAGGAGGGTTCAACTGTGTGACTTGAATGCAATCATCACTCAGAAGTTTCTGAGAACGCTTCTCTTTAGTTTTTACGTGAACATATACCCGTTTCGAACGAAGGCCAGCCAGTGGTCCAAATATCCACTTGCAGATTCTACAGAAAGAGTGTTTCGAACCTGAACTCTCAAAGGCAGGTTCATCTCTGCGAGTTAAATGCATTCATCATGAAGAACTTTCTCAGCGTGTTTGTGTTTAGTTATGGGAAATTATTCCCGTTCCCAACGAAATCCTCAGAGAGGTCCAAATGTCCACCTGCAGATTCTACCAAAAGTGTATTTGGAAACTGCTCCATCAACAGGCATGTTCAGCTCTGTGAGTGAAACTCCATCATCACAAAGAATATTCTGAGAATGCTTCCGTTTGCCTTTTATATGAAGTTCCTTCCTATACGACCGGAGGCCTCAAAGCAGTCCAAATCTCCATTTGCAGATTCTACAAAAAGAGTGATTCCAATCTGCTCTATCAATAGGATTGTTCAACTCCATGAGTTGAATGCCATCCTCACAAAGTCGTTTCTGAGAATGCTTCTATTCTAGTTTTTATGTGAAGATATTTCCTTTTCCACCACAGGCCTCAAAGCCCTCCAAACGTCCACTTGCAGATTCTCGAAAAAGAGTGTTTCATAGCTGCTCTTTCAAAAGGAAAGTTCAACTCTGGGAGTTGAATACAAACATCACAAAGTAGTTTCCGAGAATGCTTCTGTTTAGTTCTTATGTGAAGATGATCCCGTTTCCAGTGAAATCTTCAAAGAGGTCCACATATCCCCTTGCAGATTCCAAAGAAAGAGGGTTTCAAAACTGCTCCATCAAAAGGATTGTTCAACTCTGTGAGTTGAATGCAGTCATCGCAGAAAACTTTCTGAGAATGCTTCTGTCTAGGTTTGATGTGAAGATATAGACGTTTCAAACGAAGGCTACAAAGTGGTCAAAATATACACTTGCAGATTCTACTACAAGGGTGATGCAAACCTCAACTATCAAAGGAAGGTTCAACTCTGTGAGATGAATGCAACCATCACAAAAAATGTTCTGAGTTTGCTTCCGTTCAGTTATGGGAAATTGATACCGTTTCCAACGAAATCCTCAGAGAGGTCCAAATATCCCCTTGCAGATTCTACAAAACGTGTGTTTGGAAACTGCTCCATCATAACGAATGTTCAGCTCTCTGAGTTAAACTCCATCGTCACAAAGAATTTTCTGAGAGTGCTACCGTCTAGTTTTTATATGAAGTTCTTTCCTTTACTACCACAGACCTCAAAGCGGTCCAAATCTCCACTTGCAGATTCTACAAAAAGAGTGTTTGCAAACTGCTCTATCAAAAGGAATGTTCAACTCTGGGAGTTGAAAGCAATCATCACAGAGCAGTTTCTGAGAATGCTTCTATGTCGTTTTTAGGAGAAGATATTTCCTTTTCCAACACAGTCCTCCAAGCCCGCTAAATATCCACTTGCACATTGTAGAAAAAGTGTGTCGAAGCTGCGCTATCAAAGGGAAAGTTCAACTCTGTGAGGTGAATGCAAACATCCCAAAGAAGTTTCTGAGAATACTTCCGTTTAGCTTTTAGGTGAAGATTATCCCGTTTCCAACGAAATCTTCAAAGAGGTCCAAATATCCCCCTGCGGATCCCACAGAAAGAGTGTTTCGAAACTGCTGTTTCAAAAGGAATCTTCAACTCTGTGAGTTGAATGCAATCATCACAAAGAAGTTTCTGACAATGCTTCTCTCTCGTCTTTCTGTGAAGATAAAGGAAAAGGCTTTCAGGCCTTTTCCACCACAGGCCTGAAAGCGCTCCAAATGTCCACTTGCAGATTCTGCCAAAAGAATATTTCAAAACTGCTCTACGAAAAGCAATGTTAAACTCTGTGGCTCGAACACAAACATCACAAAGCCGTTTCTGAGAATGCTTCAGTTTAGTTTTTCTGTGGAAATATTCCCGTTTCCAAAGAAATCTTCAAAGAGGTCCACGCATCCACTTACAGATTCTACAAAAAGACAGTTTCAAAACTGCTCAATCAAAAGGAGGGTTCAACTGTGTGACTTGAATGCAATCATCACTCAGAAGTTTCTGAGAACGCTTCTCTTTAGTTTTTACGTGAACATATACCCGTTTCGAAAGAAGGCCAGCCAGTGGTCCAAATATCCACTTGCAGATTCTACAGAAAGAGTGTTTCGAACCTGAACTCTCAAAGGCAGGTTCATCTCTGCGAGTTCAATGCATTCATCATGAAGAACTTTCTCAGCGTGTTTGTGTTTAGTTATGGGAAATTATTCCCGTTTCCAACGAAATCCTCAGAGAGCTCCAAATATCCACCTGCAGATTCTACCAAAAGTGTATTTGGAAACTGCTCCATCAAAAGGCATGTTCAGCTCTGTGAGTGAAACTCCATCATCAAAAAGAATATTCTGAGAATGCTTCCGTTTGCCTTTTATATGAAGTTCCTTCCTATACTACCGTAGGCCTCAAAGCAGTCCAAATCTCCATTTGCAGATTCTACAAAAAGAGTGATTCCAATCTGCTCTATCAATAGGATTGTTCAACTCCATGAGTTGAATGCCATCCTCACAAAGTCGTTTCTGAGAATGCTTCTATCTAGTTTTCATGTGAAGATATTTCCTTTTCCACCACAGGCCTCAAAGCCCTCCAAACGTCCACTTGCAGATTCTCGAAAAAGAGTGTTTCATAGCTGCTCTTTCAAAAGGAAAGTTCAACTCTGGGAGTTGAATACAAACATCACAAAGTAGTTTCCGAGAATGCTTCTGTTTAGTTTTTATGTGAAGATGATCCCGTTTCCAGTGAAATCTTCAAAGAGGTCCACATATCCCCTTGCAGATTCCAAAGAAAGAGGGTTTCAAAACTGCTCCATCAGAAGGATTGTTCAACTCTGTGAGTTGAATGCAGTCATCGCAGAAAACTTTCTGAGAAGGCTTCTGTCTAGGTTTGATGTGAAGATATAGACGTTTCAAACGAAGGCTACAAAGTGGTCAAAATATACACTTGCAGATTCTACTACAAGGGTGTTGCAAACCTGAACTATCAAAGGAAGGTTCAACTCTGTGAGTTGAATACAAACATCACAAGGAATGTTCTGAGTTTGCTTCCGTTCAGTTATGGGAAGTTGATCCCGTTTCCAACGAAATCCTCAGAGAGGTCCAAATATCCCCTTGCAGATTCTACAAAACGTGTGTTTGGAGACTGCTCCATCATAACGAATGTTCAGCTCCCTGAGTTAAACTCCATCGTCACAAAGAATTTTCTGAGAGTGCTACCGTCTGGTTTTTATATGAATTTCTTTCCTTCACTACCACAGGCCTCAAAGCGGTCCAAATCTCCACTTGCAGATTCTACAAAAAGAGTGTTTGCAAACTGCTCTATCAAAAGGAATGTTCAACTCTGGGAGTTGAATGCAATCGTCACAGAGCAGTTTCTGAGAATGCTTCTATGTCGTTTTTAGGAGAAGATATTTCCTTTTCCAACACAGTCCTCCAAGCCCGCTAAATAGCCACTTGCACATTGTAGAAAAAGTGTGTCAAAGCTGCGCTATCAAAGGGAAAGTTCAACTCTGTGAGGTGAATGCAAACATCCCAAAGAAGTTTCTGAGAATGCTTCCGTTTAGCTTTTAGGTGAAGATTATCCCGTTTCCAACGAAACCTTCAAAGAGGTCCAAATATCCCCTTGCGGATCCCACAGAAAGAGTGTTTCGAAACTGCTGTTTCAAAAGGAATCTTCAACTCTGTGAGTTGAATGCAATCATCACAAAGAAGTTTCTGACAATGCTTCTCTCTCGTCTTTCTGTGAAGATAAAGGAAAAGGCTTTCAGGCCTTTGCCACCACAGGCCTGAAAGCGCTCCAAGTGTCCACTTGCAGATTCTGCGAAAAGAATATTTCAAAACTGCTCTATGAAAAGCAATGTTAAACTCTGTGGCTCGAACACAAACATCACAAAGAGGTTTCTGAGAATGCTTCAGTTTAGTTTTTCTGTGGAAATATTCCCGTTTCCAAAGAAATCTTCAAAGAGGTCCACGTATCCACTTACAGATTCTACAAAAAGACAGTTTCAAAACTGCTCCATCAAAAGGAGGGTTCAACCGTGTGACTTGAATGCAATCATCACTCAGAAGTTTCTGAGAATGCTTCTCTTTAGTTTTTACGTGAACATATACCCGTTTCGAACGAAGGCCACCCAGTGGTCCAAATATCCACTTGCAGATTATACAGAAAGAGTGTTTGAAACCTGAACTCTCAAAGGCAGGTTCATCTCTGCGAGTTAAATGCATTCATCATGAAGAACTTTCTCAGAGTGTTTGTGTTTAGTTATGGGAAATTATTCCCGTTTCCAACGAAATCCTCAGAGAGCTCCAAATATCCACCTGCAGATTCTACCAAAAGTGTATTTGGAAACTGCTCCATCAAAAGGCATGTTCAGCTCTGTGAGTGAAACTCCATCATCACAAAGAATATTCTGAGAATGCTTCCGTTTGCCTTTTATATGAACTTCCTTCCTATACGACCGTAGGCCTCAAAGCAGTCCAAATCTCCATTTGCAGATTCTACAAAAAGAGTGATTCCAATCTGCTCTATCAATAGGATTGTTCAACTCCATGAGTTGAATGCCATCCTCACAAAGTCGTTTCTGAGAATGCTTCTATCTAGTTTTTATGTGAAGATATTTCCTTTTCCACCACAGGCCTCAAAGCCCTCCAAACGTCCACTTGCAGATTCTCGAAAAAGAGTGTTTCATAGCTGCTCTTTCAAAAGGAAAGTTCAACTCTGGGAGTTGAATACAAACATCACAAAGTAGTTTCCGAGAATGCTTCTGTTTAGTTTTTATGTGAAGATGATCCCGTTTCCAGTGAAATCTTCAAAGAGGTCCACATATCCCCTTGCAGATTCCAAAGAAAGAGGGTTTCAAAACTGCTCCATCAGAAGGATTGTTCAACTCTGTGAGTTGAATGCAGTCATCGCAGAAAACTTTCTGAGAATGCTTCTGTCTAGGTTTGATGTGAAGATATAGACGTTTCAAACGAAGGCTACAAAGTGGTCAAAATATACACTTGCAGATTCTACTACAAGGGTGTTGCAAACCTGAACTATCAAAGGAAGGTTCAACTCTGTGAGTTGAATACAAACATCACAAAGAATGTTCTGAGTTTGCTTCCGTTCAGTTATGGGAAGTTGATCCCGTTTCCAACGAAATCCTCAGAGAGGTCCAAATATCCCCTTGCAGATTCTACAAAACGTGTGTTTGGAAACTGCTCCATCATAACGAATGTTCAGCTCCCTGAGTTAAACTCCATCGTCACAAAGAATTTTCTGAGAGTGCTACCGTCTGGTTTTTATATGAAGTTCTTTCTTTCACTACCACAGGCCTCAAAGCGGTCCAAATCTCCACTTGCAGATTCTACAAAAAGAGTGTTTGCAAACTGCTCTATCAAAAGGAATGTTCAACTCTGGGAGTTGAATGCAATCATCACAGAGCAGTTTCTGAGAATGCTTCTATGTCGTTTTTAGGAGAAGATATTTCCTTTTCCAACACAGTCCTCCAAGCCCGCTAAATAGCCACTTGCACATTGTAGAAAAAGTGTGTCAAAGCTGCGCTATCAAAGGGAAAGTTCAACTCTGTGAGGTGAATGCAAACATCCCAAAGAAGTTTCTGAGAATGCTTCCGTTTAGCTTTTAGGTGAAGATTATCCCGTTTCCAACGAAACCTTCAAAGAGGTCCAAATATCCCCTTGGGGATCCCACAGAAAGAGTGTTTCGAAACAGCTGTTTCAAAAGGAATCTTCAACTCTGTGAGTTGAATGCAATCATCACAAAGAAGTTTCTGACAATGCTTCTCTCTCGTCTTTCTGTGAAGATAAAGGAAAAGGCTTTCAGGCCTTTTCCACCACAGGCCTGAAAGCGCTCCAAATGTCCACTTGCAGATTCTGCGAAAAGAATATTTCAAAACTGCTCTATGAAAAGCAATGTTAAACTCTGTGGCTCGAACACAAACATCACAAAGCAGTTTCTGAGAATGCTTCAGTTTAGTTTTTCTGTGGAAATATTCCCGTTTCCAAAGAAATCTTCAAAGAGGTCCACGTATCCACTTACAGATTCTACAAAAAGACAGTTTCAAAACTGCTCCATCAAAAGGAGGGTTCAACTGTGTGACTTGAATGCAATCATCACTCAGAAGTTTCTGAGAATGCTTCTCTTTAGTTTTTACGTGAACATATACCCGTTTCGAACGAAGGCCACCCAGTGGTCCAAATATCCACTTGCAGATTATACAGAAAGAGTGTTTCGAACCTGAACTCTCAAAGGCAGGTTCATCTCTGCGAGTTAAATGCATTCATCATGAAGAACTTTCTCAGAGTGTTTGTGTTTAGTTATGGGAAATTATTCCCGTTTCCAACGAAATCCTCAGAGAGCTCCAAATATCCACCTGCAGATTCTACCAAAAGTGTATTTGGAAACTGCTCCATCAAAAGGCATGTTCAGCTCTGTGAGTGAAACTCCATCATCACAAAGAATATTCTGAGAATGCTTCCGTTTGCCTTTTATATGAAGTTCCTTCCTGTACTACCGTAGGCCTCAAAGCAGTCCAAATCTCCATTTGCAGATTCTATAAAAAGAGTGATTCCAATCTGCTCTATCAATAGGATTGTTCAACTCCATGAGTTGAATGCCATCCTCACAAAGTAGTTTCTGAGAATGCTTCTATCTGGTTTTTGTGTGAAGATATTTCCTTTTCCACCACAGGCCTCAAAGCCCTCCAAACGTCCACTTGCAGATTCTCGAAAAAGAGTGTTTCATAGCTGCTCTTTCCAAAGGAAAGTTCAACTCTGGGAGTTGAATACAAACATCACAAAGTAGTTTCCGAGAATGCTTCTGTTTAGTTTTTATGTGAAGATGATCCCGTTTCCAGTGAAATCTTCAAAGAGGTCCACATATCCCCTTGCAGATTCCAAAGAAAGAGGGTTTCAAAACTGCTCCATCAGAAGGATTGTTCAACTCTGTGAGTTGAATGCAGTCATCGCAGAAAACTTTCTGAGAAAGCTTCTGTCTAGGTTTGATGTGAAGATATAGACGTTTCAAACGAAGGCTACAAAGTGGTCAAAATATACACTTGCAGATTCTACTACAAGG